>NC_000005.10:181327813-181478259 GCF_000001405.40 Homo sapiens
CCACGCCCAGCTAGCTCTCGCCTCACTGCGGCCTCCCCAGTCCAAAGCTCCTGCCTTTCGGCCACTTCGGCAGGTCCAGCTCCTGCCTGCCAGTGGCCTCTTTAGGCCCAGCTCATTCCTCACGTCGGCCATTCCAGGCCCCGTTTTTCCCTTCCGGCAGCCTCTTGGCCTCTAATTTGTTTATCTTTTGTGTATAAATCCCAAAATATTGAATTTTGGAATATTTCCACCATTATGTAAATATTTTGATAGGTAATTTATTTGGAGTGAGTTTCTGCGCCAAGCCCGAATTTTTTATTTTATTTTCCTTATTATTTGGTGTTAAACAGGTTTAATGACGGTCATGGCAACTTTTTGGCACAATGAAAAATATCGCCCACGATCAACGTGTTCTGTTCTGGGGAAGGGGGCAAAGGCAGGGTGAATCACTTTCTTAAAAAGTATAGCTCAAGTTGGGAGTGCAGAGGGAATGGGGAGAAAACCCTCCCGCTGCCTGTGTCGAAGTGCAGGAGCCCCCACCCCCATACTCACCTGAGTCCAGCCCCTCTGGGGAAAGAAGGGGTGCATGAACTCCCCCTAGTCCACAGGCGCCTCCCTGTGGCCCAAGGCCCTCTTCACACTCCATCTTGTAGCCCCAGCAGGAGCTATTTTCCGAAAAGTGAAAAGCTCTGAAGGTCCCACAATTCATGGTATGTACAGGGGCTCGGAGGAGGGAAACTGCCCAGCTTTCCCCCGGCACAGCTGCAGGGGTAGGGGGTATAGATAAGAGGAGCAGGCCTTGGCCAGGCGTGGTGGCTCACGCCTGTAATCCCAGCACTTTGGGAGGGGGAGGCAGGCAGATCACGATGTCAGGAGATCGAAATCAGCCTGGCCAAGATGATGAAGCCCCGTCTGTACTAAAAATAGAAAAATTAGCCGGACGTGGTAGCGTCCACCTGTAATCCTAGCTACCCGGAAGGCTGAGGCAGGAGAATGGCGTGAACCCGGCGGGAAGAGGTTGCAGTGAGCCAAGATCGCACCACTGCACTCCAGCCTGGGCGACAGAGCAAGACTCGGTCTCAAAAAAAAAAAAAAAAAAAAAAAAAGGAAGGCCTTACTCCGTCCCAAACTGAAAGGATTAAATGGCTTCACCTGGGAGAAGATAACCATCCTGCCCTCCATTGCTACCCCCACATACTGTCCATGTTCTCAGGGGGTACTGTGAGTCCTGGGATCTTTGGGGTTGCCCACCTGCCTGTGGTAGTTATGGAGACCCCCAGGTGTTGAGGCAGGGCTGGGGTGTCCCCTTCCAACCAGGCTGTCAAGGCCCCAACTCTGGGGCAGAGGCAGTGGCAGGGCAGCCAGGGTTGTGCCAGAGCCTGAGCAGGTTGAGGTGGGGTCAGGCAGGGCTGGGAGTCAGGGCAGGGGCAGCAGCAGTGGACCTGCTATGCACACATCTTCTTCTCCAAGGTTTGTGTGCAGAACATCCTGCCCATGCTGCCCTAGCAGCTTCAGTTGGCACCTGCCTCAGTCCAGCCTCTGGGAACCATGCAGCAGCTCCCAGCGGCCCTGCACCCACCACCAGCATCCGTTTCACCTGCAGTTGAAGATCCGTGAGGTGCCCAGAAGATCATGCAGTCATCAGTCCCACGGAGCAGCCTGCGAGGCTGAGGCTCCTCCCACTGGACCGCCCCCCAACTGGCACCACTGCTGCCCCTGCCCCTACTCTCAGCCTCACGTGACTCTCGGGCAGAAGCAGTGGTGGGGCAGCCAGGGCAGCGTCAAGAGTCTGAGCCAGGTGAGGTGCGGTCAGGACCCCCACAGGGCTGGGAGTCAGGGCAGGGGCAGAACAAACCTTGGAGGGGAAGATGTGTGCATAGTGGGCCTGGAGGGCGGCTGTGGCCTAGTGGACAGGAAGAAGCAGTGGGCCTGGAAGAGCTGCATGATCAGGGCCGGCACTGGTCCAGGGTACGTGCAGTGAAGAGGACAGCGCCTTCTCGGTCTCCGGTTCCCTGAGCCTGTCCTCGGCTTCTCCACCTGTACAGGCAAAGGGGAAGCTGTCCCCATCACACATGGCACACTTGGGGGTGTTGGGCTTTGGACTGCAGCTGGAGCATCTTCTCATCTTGCATTTGGGCGCGGTGGGGTCCTCCAGTGTGGGATCCATGTCCGTGGGGTTCCCTCTGCCCCGACCCCGAAAGCCCAGTCAGTTTCTCTTCAGGCTCTGCCCCCCGGGTGGCTCAGCCCAGCTCCTGCCTAGGAAAGCCTTAGTGTTGGGAGGGACCCTGATGACTGAGGAGCCTGGTAGCTCCAGGTCGCCCACACTTTCAGGTCTCTTGCACCAGAAGGTGGCAGGATCCATTGGGAGGAAACAGGCCACCTTGGAAGGCGTCCCTGGGCCCCCATCCCCAGGGGTTGGGGCCGTAGGGGGCCCGCTCTGCTGCGTTGACCAGACTCCTGGGCTTTGAAGGCTCCTGGGCCCAGTAAGAAGGAGGTGGGTGCCAAGGTTGAGGAGGAAGCATCCGAGTACGTGTAGGAGGAGGACAGGGTGTGACCATAGACTGCCAAAAGCTGCAGGTGGATCGGGGGACCCTGGGGGCTCAGGATCCAGCAAGGGGCGGCAGGAGTAAAGGAGGAAGGAATGACAGGTGCAAATACCTTCCCACCAAAGCCCTTGTTGCCCTCTGGCTCCTCCCCAGAGTTGTCCCCACTCTCAGTCGGTCACCCACTCCTTGAACTTGAGATCGGTGTCGGTGGTGCTAAAGCCATCATCAGCAATGACATCATCACCCCCTCCTCCTCATGGATGACCGTGTGCTCTTCGTCACTCGCTATGACCTCGCTGGCCATGTGCTGGGAATGAGCAGCTCACGTGGGCGGCAGCAGGGCTGCCCACGGGTCACCTCCCTCACCAGGGGCTGCAAAGTGGCCTGGAGCTCCATGCTGAGTAGAAGGCTTTGGGCCAGAGTATGATGCAGTGCCAGACACCACCTGTGTCAGTTCCCGTAGTGCCTGACGGTCTATTTCCCTGCCGTCCAGGCTGTGTACCCCGCTGTGGGAGAAGGCTTGGGCCAGGCTGAGCCAGGTTCCCTGACTGTGTGCAGCCGTTCTGCCCCACAGAAGCTGCTCCTTGGTATCCGAGCTCTGGAGTGTTTGGGCTGCAACTGACAGGAGTTCAGAGGACACCCCAGGGGCAGTGGCCGTGCCCGTCTCTGATATGCTCCGCTCCCACGAGCCCTTGTTACACTCCTGCTAGCCCCTGGCTTGTGGGCTTGGCCTCTGAGCTGGACTTCTTTCGGTCCTTGTTGCAAGTGGGCCACCTTCACCTGGAAGGCCAGGTTGTATTTCTGCATCTCATTGGGCCCCAGGGTGTACCACCGCTCGCTCAGCATCTGGCTGACGGTCCGGTTATCCTGGTTGGGGTGACCCTGGTGCGCCCCGCCAGGGCCTGGTGCCGCCTGCTGAAGATCATGAGCGCCACTCATGGGCCACCGGATGTGGTCCTTGTCTGATTTGTTGGGGCTGCGTCCATCCTTCTCAGAAGATGAGTCCTGTTCCTTGCGCAGGGCACTGAGGGACTGGGCCTGACATCATCTGAGTGGTAGAGGCAACTGGGTGTCAGGAGACATGATGGAGAGGAAAGCATCATCATGGTCATTCTCTGTCTCACTGTCCAGCAGGGACTCCCCTGAGGGGCCCAGGGCTCCTCCTCCATGGTGGGAGGTGAGCTTTTACCAGGTTCCACCACCCCCAAAGTGTGTGGGGTTGCGGGCCCTGGGCTTTCAGGGCAGGTGGCTCCAGGGGGCCGCCCAGGGTCAACACTCCCTGTCCCACCTGGTGGACGCTCATGAGCAACGGCTGCCAACTTGGCAGGTTGTTTTCTCTGGTTGGAGGCCACTGAGTGACTGGCAGGTTGCTGGGCCTCGTGTGGCTGCAGGGAGGGGTCAGGAAGGGGATGGAGTACCAGGAGAACACGGCCGCAGAGTGACCTTCCACATTCCTCCACACGAACATGCTGACGCCACGGGAGGCCTCACTGAACGCAGGCCTGGGGGCCGAGCACTTGGTCCGGGCAGGGGGTTCCTGGCAGGGGCTCACACCTCCTCGCCCCCTCCTCAGCCAAGGTGGCTTGGGCCCAGAGAAGGGGAGGTTGGAGAGGAGCAGAAGGCCAGGCCTCAAGTTTTGTTTTTTTTGTTTGTTTTGTTTTTTGTTTTTGAAATGTAGTTTGACTCTTGTCACCCAGGCTGGAGTGCAGTGGCACGATCTCAGTGGCCTTCATACCTGGCTAATTTTTTGTATTTTTACTGGAGGTGGGGTTTTGCCATGTTGGCCAGGCTGGTCTTGACCTCCCGACCTCAGGTGATCCACCCACCTCAGCCTCCCAAAATGGGATTACAGGCATGAGCTACCGCTCCCAACTTCATTCATTTTTACTTGAAAAACTCCGTTAAGCATTTTTTTAAGGTAGACCTAGTGGTCCTGAATGCCCTCAGCTTTGTTTGTCGAGGAAACACGTTATTTCTTTTTCCTTTCTGAAGGACAGCTTTGTCAGACATAGTATTAGTTGCTGGCAGTTTTTTTCTTTCAGCACTTTGAATGTATTATTCGATTCTGTCCTGACCTGCAAAGTTTCTTTAACTTTTGACTATTTGATTATATTGTGACTTGGTGAGTATCTATTTGGTTTGAACCTCTTTAGGAATCTTTAAGCTTCATGGATTTAGATGTCTAAATCTTTCCCATGATTTAGGCAGTTGTCAGCCATTCTTTAAATAAGCTTTATTCTCCTTTCTCTACTTTCCTTCTCAAACTCCCATAACCTGACAATGGTTTGCTTAATGGTGTCTTGTTGGCTTTCTTTTCTCTGTCTCTTTTTTTTTTCTTTTTGAGACAGAGTCATGCTCTGTCACCCAGGCTGGAGTGTAATGTGTGGTCTCGGCTCACATTGCACTCCAACCTCCGCCTCCTGGGTTCAAGCGATTCTCCTGCCTCAGCCTCCTAAGTAGCTGGGACTACAGGTGTGTGCCACCACACCCGGCTAATTTTTGTATTTTTAGTAGAGATGGGGCTTTGTCATGTTGGACAGGCTGGTCTTGAACTCCTGACCTCTTAATCTGCCTGCCTCGGCCTCCCAAAGTGTTGGGATTACAGGCTTGAGCCACCACACCCAGCCTTCTTTTCTCTCTTTTATTCTTTTTTTCTCTGTCCTCTGACTGGATAATTTCGGAAGATCTATATTCAAGTTTACAGATTCTCTCTCCTGTTGAAGTTGACTATTGTGTTATATCACCCAGTCTGGTCTTGAACTCCTGGGCTCAAGCGATCCTCCCACCTTGGCCTCCCAAAGTGCTGAGTTTACAAGCATGAGCCACTGCATCCAGTCAGTCCCAGCACTTTGGGAAGCTGAGGTGGGAGGATCACTTGAGCTCAGGAGTTTGAGACCAGCCTGGGCAACGTACTGAGAACTTGTCTCTATATTAAAAAAAAAAAAAAAAAGTCTTTGGGAGGCCAAAGCGGGAGGATCACCTGAGGTCAGGAGTTCGAGACCAGCCTGGCCATCATGGCAAAACCCCATCTCTACTAAAAATACAAAAATTAGCCAGGTGTGGTGGCACACGCCTGTAGTGGTGGTGCATGCCTATAGTCCCAGCTACTCAAGAGGCTGAGGCAGGAGAATCACTTGAACTGGGAGAGGGAGGTTGCAGTGAGCTGAGATCGCACCAGTGCACTCCAGCCTGGGCAACAGAGTGAGACTCCATCTTATAAAAGGAAAAAAGAAAGAAAAGAAAAATTCCATATCTGAGTGTTTACTCCTGAGTTTTTGAGATTGTTATTAAGATCGTGCTCTACTGTGATGATTTGGGTTTGTTTGATAATCAGAAAAAAAGCGTATTCTTTTAGGTGTTCAGCCACACTGCTTTGGTGTCACAACTGCACATTGGTTTCACAGCTGCAGGACAAGTTCGAGCATCTTAAAATGATTCAACAGGAGGAGATAAGGAAGCTCGAGGAAGAGAAAAAACAACTGGAAGGAGAAATCATAGATTTTTATAAAATGAAAGCTGCCTCTGAAGCACTGCAGACTCAGCTGAGCACCGATACAAAGAAAGACAAACATCGTAAGAAGCAATAGTTTCTCTTACTATTCTGAGAGCCTTATCATTCTACATCCCATCTTCCTGTGAGTTTGTCTTTGTAGCATTTAACTCTAATTGCAGTTCTCATTTTAAAAACTGGCTTGCTTATTGTATATTTTCCCCAACTAAAGCGTGAACTCCTAGCAGGGCGTGGTGGCTCATGCCTGTAATCTCAGCACTGTGGGAGGCCGAGGTGGGTCGACTACCTGAGGTTAGGAGTTCGAGACCAGCCTGACCAACATGATGAAACGCTGTCTCTACTAAAAATACAAAAATTAGCTAGGCGTGGTGGCTGGGACCTGTAATCCCAGCTACTTGGGAGGCTGAGGCAGGAGAATCACTTGAACCCTGGAGGTGGAGGTTGCAGTGAGCAGAGATCTCACCATTACACTCCAGCCTGGGTGACAAGAGCAAAACTGCATCTCAAAAAAAAAAAAAAAAAGGGGGTGAACTTGAAGGCAGGTCCTGTGTCCATCTTTTCAGATTCTGTATCCCAGCACTTAGGACATAGACAAACACGAAGATGACAATCAATATTTGCCAAAATGAAAAAACAAAAGAAACATGTAACATCATGTAAAAGAAGCTGGTTAGGTGGAGAAATTTATTTACCATAGTCTTGCTTGTGGATCCAGTAGTGACTTTTACAGTTTGTATCTAAATAGAAGCTGGAGGCTTTGTTGGGGACTCATAGGCATAAAATATTATTTATTATAGAGTTAAATGCTACAAAGACAAATCTAATTAATAGGCCTATTTTCCTTTTTAAATTCTACTCATAATTTCTTCATAGTTTTTATGATAAAAGGTTGGATTTTGATTAGAACTCCCATGATTTTGTGTCAGAATTAAAACTGGTATTAGAATAAATAATTCAAAAGCTAGAGAAAGAGTACAAAGAGAAGCCATGAGTTGCATTTGAATTATAATATTATGTCTTACAGATTTGGGGTATATGCTAAAGTTACCAAAGTTGTAGAAAATAAGGCCGGGCATTGTGGCTCACATCTGTAATTCCAGCACTTTGGGAGGCCGAGGTGGGCGGATCATTTGAGGTCAGGAGTTCGAGACCAGCCTGGCCAACATGGTGAAACTCCGTCTGTACTAATAGTACAAAAATTAGCCAGGCGTGATGGTGTGCACCTGTAGTCCTTGCTACTCAGAAAGCTGAGGCAGGAGAATCGCTTGTACCCAGGAGGCAGAGGTTGCAGTGAGCAGAGATTGTGCCACTGCACTCCAGCCTGGGTGACAGAGTGCTATGAGTCACCACACCTGGTATGAGCCACCGTGCCTGGCCCACAATGACTTTTACACATGTTGTTAAATCATCTTACAGATTTTATAATTTGGGGGAAGAAAAGTTTTACTAAATGGTCTTTTAATGGAAACTCTACAAGAACCAGAATCTTTGCTTTGTTCACTTATGTATCCATTCCTAGGCCTAGAAAAATGTCTGACACATAGCGGCAATTATTCATTGAATAAATGGACCCAGCGATAGTACATTAGCTATGCTATATGCATACATTAAAGATGTAGATTATCGACTTTCAAAAGATAATTAATGTAACTTCTTACTGCTTCTGAACATGTTTGTGAGTTATATTGCTGAGGGACCTTTATCTTCTCATTCTTTCATCTTAACCCAGTGTTATAAAATTGAAATCACCAATATTATTCCATATCTAAAATTAATATCTACCTTGTAAAAAATATCACTCTGCTGCATTTGAGAATAGACTTTTTAGGTAATAATGATGCAATCCATAGGGTTTTTGGGGGCACAGAGGGATTCATGCTAACAGAACATTTTATTTTCTATTTTCCCAGAGCTGTAAAACATGAAATTACGGTAGTATAAGGCATATTTTTACTCTTTTTATAATTTTTTCTAAAAAAAATTAGTGTTTGTTCCCTATATAACTTTTAACTTTATAGGTAAATATTTGTTTCTTTCAGCTCCAGTTTTATGTGAAATAGAGTTTTCAGATTTATGTAGCATGGAAAGTTTTAATACGTCAGAGTTACTGATTTTTGCCAATCATTTTCTCAATTATTTCTTTTTTATCTTTAGTTGATTTTTTTGTAGTGACACATTTTGTTTCTAGTCTCATTTCCTTTTGTTTATATTCTATATATATTTCATTTTTGGTTACTATGAGAATTACATATAACATCCTAGAGTTATAACATTTTAATTTGAATTTATTTCAACTTAAGTTCAATCACATACCAAAATTCTACTGCTATATATATAGCTCTACTCTTTTTATGTTATTGATGTGACAAATTATATCTTTATTCATTGTATACCAGCTAACAGATTTACAATTACATTTTATGCATTTGCCTTTTAAATTATGTAGAAAATAAAAAGCAGAGTTACAAACCAAAATTACAATAGGACTGTTTTTATGTTTATGTATTTACCTTTACCAGAGAGCTTTGTATATTCATACAGCTTGCTTATTTACTTACATAGTTATTGCCTAGAGTTCATTTATTTCAACCTGAAGGACTTAACACTTCCTGAATGTCAAATTCAGGGATAAATGGATTTTTTTCAGTTTTAAAAAAAAATCCGGAAATGTCTTAATTTCTCCTTCATTTTTGAAGGATAAGTTTTCCAGCTATATATTTCTCAATTGACAGGTTTCTTCATTATTTTAAATATATAATCCACTGCCTACTGGCCTTCAAGGTTTCTGCCGAGAAATCAGCTGCTAATGTTATCTGGATCCCTATCTGTGAGAGTTGCTCTTCTCTCTGAGTTTTCAACATTCTCCCATTATCTTTTTTTTGTTTGTTTTTGAGACAAATAATTGTACATATTCATGGGATACAGAGTGATATTTTGATACATGTATACAATGCCCAATGATCAAATAAGGATAATTAGCATATCCATCACCTCAAATATTTGTCATTTATTTGTATTGTGAACAGTCAACATTCTTTCTTCTAGTTTTTTAAATTTATAAACATTTAAATTTTATTACAGAAATTTAAATTTTTTGATTCTGAAAAAGTCATATATGTATGCAACATTTTTTATCATTTATTTATATATTTATGCATCTTTCCTTTTAGTTTTGACAGAGATTTTCTATTTTATCATTATTTCAAAAGAACTCTTACCTGTATTTATTTATCAAGTATATTTCCCTTGTTTTTTCCTAGTATATTAATTTATTTACTTATCTTCTAAAAATCCTCCATATAATCTGTTTATTTTGTTTCCTTTCTATAATTTCTTCAATAATTAGTTCTGTTCTATTTTCCATTAAAATATTTAAATCTTGTATGAATTTTTGTCAGATTAGAAATTTAGGGCGTTTCTTAATTTCTCTATACTCTAGCTTTTGACTTTTTTTTTCTGACCTAAGAGGTATTTAGAGCACATTTTAGATTTTTTATTTTGACTAATCATTTAAAATGTATACTAATCTTCAATTTAAATAAAAAACTGGTCTATAGTGACAAAAATTACAAATGAGCCTAACTAATAAATTATCAGCTGTGTTTATATGTATAAGCATGCACAGATTTTGGTAAATATGTACATAGTATATTGGTGAGCTTATTTTTATCATTCTTAACTCATTGTGTAGTCTAAACGTTGGGGAAAAAATAAAATACAATAATCAGATGGTGTGAATAAGAAAATTGTTCTAATGTTTGTAAACCAAGCAACTGTTTTAACTGCTCCCCTCTTCCTGATTGACTTCTAAAAGGGATTGATCCATATTGGGTCCTATCATATACGTCACGGTATAACATCTCCAGCTATAAAATGGAAATTTGAGAATAACTTTGCTGCTACTCAGATACATTTTATTTCAAAAACATACACTAAGGTGTTGCTGTTGGATCTTTCCAAAAACATATTCACACTGAACTTTCAATCACACTGAGCCATATTTGAACAATCTTTCAAGGTCAGCTCTGGCATAAGCTAACATTATACCATTTAACTCAGAAATTTCTTTAGTATTTGATTAATGGGTTTATGTTTGATATGTAATGTAATTTTCTAATGCTAAATCAAGTGGTAATTTTGTTAGTCAAGTTGATTTAGTGGCTTGGGAAGAAAGCTTTTAATGTTCCCCTAATTTTTCTTACCTTTGACATGATCCTTCACATGTCTTATTTTGCTTAGTGATTTTTCTTTTTTTTTTTTTTTTTTGAGACAGGGTCTTACTCTACCACCCAGGCTTGAGTGCAGTGGTGCAATCACAGCTCATTGCAGCCTTGACCTCCCAGACTCAAGCTATTCTTCCACCTCAGCCTCCCAAGTAGCTGGTACTACAGGCACATGCCACCAAACTTGGCTAATTTTTGTATTTTTTGTAGAGACAGAGTTTTGCCAAATTCTCAGGCTGGTCTGGAATTTCTTGGCTCAAGTAATCCTGCCTTGGCCTCCCAACATGCTGATATTACAGACATAAGCCACAGTACCTGGCCAGTTTTCTTTTTAAAAAAATCTATTGGTTATTAATTTGAAGCCTTCCTTTTCATAGCTGTGCTCCTTAATTGGGAGCAAACATGAATGGACCACAACTTAGCCAATTTTCTATATACGATCTTTGCCATCCTAATTTAAAGGAATATTAATTCTTTCTTTTCCTCTTTCATTCCACAAACCTGTATTGACTACATCTAAGTTCTAAATGGTGCACTGGATGTTGAAAAAGTTGATGATGAGCAAGAACAAAATTCCTGCTTTCAGGAGACTTACAGTTCAATATGGGAAATATAATTTGTTAAAATATAAAAGTGCAATTGTGTTACATGCTGTACGAAGTACATGTTGACATGTGAGCATATAATAAATGGGCTGGAGGCCAGAGGATTGCCAAAGAGAATGGGCCTCCTGCTGAGATGAAAAGTTGAGCAGGGATTAGTTGGCAAAAGTGGAGGGACGATCCTTTCTAGGCAGGAGGAAGAACATGTACAGAATCTCTGAGGTGTGATGCGACAAAGTCTATATAAAAAACTGAAGAAAGGTCTAATGTGGCTTAAATACAGAAGCTAGTAGGAGAGGAGTCGAAAAGAGGCTGGAGAAGTAGAAAGTGTCTGCATTCTGCAGGAACTTATATTGTATAAAAAGAATTTCTCTTTATTCTAAGTGCAATGTGAAGCCAATGAAGTGCTTTAAACAGGTGATGTGATTTGATTGAATTTATTACTTCACTTAACAAATATTCATTACATGCCCACTGTTTGTCAGATATTGCTGTAGCCCCTGGTGATACAGTAGGGAATAAAACAGGCAAAAATCCCTGTCCTCTTGCAGCTTATAATGGACTGCAATGTTTAATATGTCAGAGGAGGTCCACGGAGGAGTGACTTCTAAGCAAGAATCTGAAAAAAATGAGGATATCTAAGGAGGGAACAAATGGTTCAAAAGCCCTATAATTGCAAGCAGGCATGATGAAGCAATTGCAGTTGTCCTGACTCTCAACACCGTGGAACTCAAAGGAGATGGAAAGATTCCTTCTCTCCCTCATATATTTTCTCTCTTTCTGTCTATATATATAGAATATGAGACATTTCCCTAATCATTATGTGTAATTACAATTACATATATATATGTAATTGTAATTACACATAATGATTAGGGAAATGTCTCATATTCTTCTACTCAGAAATAAGCAATATAGCAATTACTGTTTTTTACATTTTACAGTTACAGTTTCAGAGAAAGTTTGATATTTATCTAAAATTTTTCAATGTATGAACTTTTTCATTTGACAAACCATAATTGTACATATTCTTGGGATACAGAGTGATATTTTCTTTACATGTATAGAATGTGTAGTGATCAAATCAGGGTAATTTCCACTAATTTAAAATGCCACCTTTATGTTATTGTAATTTATATATATACTATATATACACACACACACATATATATATACATGTCCACATACAGTGTGTGTGTGCACATGTACACACATGCATATGTGTATAGAATGCCCAGTATAAGCAATGTGCACAAATAAAATTAGCTAACAGAGATAGTATAGAGTGAGAGGAGAGGCAGATTAATCTTTGAGGAAAAGCACAATTTTATAGCTGAATGGAGAAAGCTGAGGTGGTTTCTAAGATGGAGAATAAGACGAAAAATGTAAGTACGTTGTTTGACTGAATTCAAGAAAGAAGGGTAAAAGAGAAGAAAGTAGTGGTCTTATCATTAAATGCCACAGAGAGGTAAAGATAAAGACAACATATTGTTTTGGGTTTAGTAATTTAAGGGTGACCAAATTCCGTTTTGGAGGAGGAACAGATTCCATGTCCACTAGAATGGAATGAACAAGAAATGGAGGAGGAAAATAGGTAGTTTTTCAAAAGTTTTCAAAAATATGAAAAGAAGAAATGAAGTGGTACTTGGAAGAGATTGTTGAAATGGGAGAGACTATGGTGGCTTGTTTAGAAGCAGTTGAGATAGATCCAATTGAGATAGAGATATTGACTATATAAACAAAAGAATGACAAATTAATAGTGTAATGGATAACTTGACTTTGGCAAATATTGTGAATTTTTGTGAAAGTACAACTAAAAGGCAATGTCACTCCAATAATCACCAGAGTAATCAATTTGCTTATTGCTGTCCCTTTAAATATAGTTCTCTGGTATCAACTAACATGTTTTTAACTAATGATGCTTCTTAAAGAAAAGGGAAAAGACCTTTTTCTTTCTTTCAGTCTTCAATGATTCACTGCTTCATCTCGCTCCACCAAAGATAAATGAAATCTACATCTCTTATACATTAACAATGCATGACAATTTACAAATAGCTAAATTTTTGGAGCTAACTTTAAGTACCTGAATGGAATTTAATCAACCCACTAATCTCCTTCTCACTTCTCAGTTATTTATCAAGTTTATGTCAAGGGACAAGGAAAAATTATCCAAACATTGTTTAAAACAATCATCATTAATTAGTAACACTTATCCAGGGGGGTTTTTAACCTTTCCCCCACTCAAGGATTATTCTAATGTCAGAGTAGAATAAAAAATAAGTGCAGCGATGCTGACTCTTCCAAGCTTAACATTTCTCACAAGTCAATTAGCTTTGTACTGGGAGGAGGGCGTGAAGGGCTGCTTGCGGTAGTTGTGTAGCAGCAGCACAATGGCCGCAGACAAGGAAAACAGTTTCTAGGAATTCCTCGTATATAATTTTATATTTTTGACAAGATTAATGACCCATGCTCCCTTCCTCTCCATTTCTTTTTTTGGAATTCTGTTGGTATGTAGTTACTATATTTTATTAAAGGAAATTAGCCTTATCTCTTATTATATTTTATTAAAGAAAATTATTATATTATTCCTTTATATTTTTATTAAAGGATTTTATTATTATTAAAGGAAATTAGCCTTATCTCTTATTATATTTTTTATGACCTTCAAAGTAGTGTCTCTGCTTAAAAGTGTACCCTGGCCGGGCGTGGTGGCTCACACCTGTAATTCCAGCACTTTGGGAGGCCGAGGCGGGTGGATCACGAGGTCAGGAGATCGAGACCATCCTGGCTAACACGGTGAAACCCCGTCTGTACTAAAAATACAAAAAATTAGCAGGGCATAGTGGTGGGCGCCTGTAGTCCCAGCTACTCAGGAGGCTCAGGCAGGAGAATGGCATGAACCCGGGAGACGGAGCTTGCGGTGAGCTGAGATCGCACCGCTGCACTCCAGCCTGGGCGACAGAGCAAGACTCCGTCTCAAAAAAAAAAAAAGTATACCCTGAGGCACACATCAAGCGACATGTAGAGTTCATAAATTCTGGCCAAATGGTCATACCTCAAACCTCATCAGCAGTAAGGCTCTTTACTTGCACTGACAAATATGAACGCTGGGGAATTTGGAAATGATATATAATATATAATATTATATATATAATAGATATATAATATATAATATATATAATACATATATAATATTATATATGTAATAGATATACAATATATAATATATAATAGATATATAATATTATATATAATAGATATATAATATTATATATAATAGATATATAATATATAACTTTCCATGTGATTTTCCTCTTAATTTTTTTCTAGCTGATCCATATGAATTCCTCTTATTAAGAAAAATAAAGCATCCAGGATTCAATGAAGAACTGACTATCACCTTGTTAATCATTCAGAAACATGTTGCAGGCTTAAGCCATTTTTGATATAGATACTGAAACAATTACTTGCTAAGAGCAAACTTGAAGGTATGGATAAGGCCCTGAGTCATCTTCCTGAGCTGAATGATAGTTAAGCTGAATGTACGTATAAAATATGATTTTCTAACCACTTGCTCGCCAACAAGGAAAACTTTTAAGTAGAGCAGAACCTGAATAGACAAGACATTTCTTTCTTTTGGTAGAAAATGATTTACCATCACTGTGTAGTTAATTGTAGACTAGGTAATTTTAACTTTGTGATTTATTGCCGGAGACATTTTCTTCTGTACTGTAAAGTGTGTGTCAAAAAAAAAAAATAGCGATTTTGGAGGATTAGGGGACTTTGATAAATTGCCTGCAATTCTGGCAGTATGAACTGCATATTAATTTCTCTCTTTCAAGAACATTTTTATTTATTAATTCCTTACAAAAACTCCCTAAACTTTGGAACAGCTCTCAATTGCCTGTATTCTTTTTTTTCTTATTATGGTACTCTTCTAGAGATTTGGCTTGCATCTGTGAATAAGCCAGGACATCTTCAGAAATTGTCTGATTAAAAACACCACCAATGGAGTTTCATTAAATTTGTATTGCTCTGACTAGTGAAACATACACATCTATGTTGCTGAGGATATTTTACTGCAGTTCAAGTTGTAATAATAGCTCTGTTTAAGATCCGTCAGTCACTTGAATCTTCTCTAAGGCTTTGTATGTTAGAAGTTAATTTGCTTTCTTACAAGGCCACATTCTATCTTGTAACTAAACAACTGAATTTTATGTCTTAGCGTAGATGGTTTATTACTTTCTGGTTTTTCTTTAGTAAGAATCCTATAAAAACACTAGTATTTTTCTCTGAGTTTAAAATTCAATACATGCCTACTGATATGGTTAGGCTTTGTATCCCCACCTGAATCTCGTCTTGAATTGTAATCCCCATAGCCCCCATAATCCCCACAGGTCAAGGGAGAGACCAGGTGGAGGTAATTGAATCATGGGGGCAGTTTCCCCTGTGCTGTTCTTGTGATAGTGAGTTCTCACGAGATTTGATGGTTTTATAAGGGATTCTTTCCCCTTTGCTCGGCACTTCTTCATGCTGCCTTGCGAAGAAGCTGGCTTGCTTCCTCTTTGTCTTCCGCCATGATTGTAGATTTCCTGAGGCCTCCCAAGCTGTGCTGAACTGTGAGCCAATTAAACTTCTTTCCTTTATAAATTACCCAGTCTTGGGCAGTTCTTTATAGCAGTATGAAAATAGAAAAATACACCTACTATGTAAAACTTAAAATACAAAAAAACAAAACATTATCTCACTAACATAGGAGCTAATATTTTGGTGTACTTTGTTTAGTATTTTATATTAAAAATATGTACATATATATTTATATATAATTAAGAACATGTATGTACAATCGTGCATACATCATGTACATACATCTACTTAAGAAAATAGCTATGTAATATACCATTACTCAACTAGATTATAATTTTTTCTCCATTTCTTTATTGTAATTTATCATTTTCTACTTTTTTGTTTTCTCATTTTTATTGCATAATATTTAATTATGCAAAAAATACATTAAATACATTGAAAATATATAGTGTAGCTATAAGAATAAAGAACGATGGTAAAACAAATGCTAATACCCACTACCTGACTTAAAGAATATGATATTATTTTTTTCCAATTGAAATTCCCTCAACTACTCAGAATTACTGCTATCCCTCTTATCCTTTCATTAATTTTCTTCTAGTTTTCTCACATGTGAATCTATTTCTAAATACATTTCTTTATTTTGCAAGTTTTTGGACTTCATATAAATGTAACCATATTGTATATATTCTTCTTCAGCTTCTTAGTTTTTCACTAAACAATATGTTTTGCTGATACTTACATTCATATGTACAGTAATAGTTGATTTATTTTAATGGCTATATATTATTCCATTGTTAGAATACACCAGGATTTATTTTTACTTATTTTTTTTGCTGGAAAATTGGGTGTCTTTTTTATTTTTTGATATAACAAACAATGTTGTAATCATTTTGTATTTACTTCCTAGTCCACTCCTGTAAGTTTCTCTTGAGTACATACTAGCAATGAATATGCTGAGTCACTGCATATACATACTCACAACTTTATTCTATAATGTAATATTCTATAAAGTAGCTGTATCAGTTTATACTTTAACCAGTAATGGACAAGATTTTCTGTTACTTCCCATCTTTGTTAATTATTACTTTTAGACTCTAACTTTTATCAGGCTCATGGATGTAAAAAGCATCTCAGGGTGGTTTTAATTTGCATTTATCTGCTCATCTATGAAGATGAGCTTCTTTTCATATAATTATGAGTCATTATTTTTGTTTTGCCTTCTTTTGTTTATGCATTTTGCTTGTTCTATGTCTTATTTTTCCTGTTGATTTTTGGGAGTTCATATATATTCTAAATGTATATTTATTCACTTATATATATGTTGTAAATATTACAGTTTATGATTTGTCACCTTATGATATCTTCCAAATAGAGAAGCTTTATATTTTGATGTAGTCATATGTTCATTTTTCCTCCTTAATGTTTGTTTTTCTTGGTTCTATGACCTACCAAAAGTAACAAAAATTCTCATTTATTTTTAATCTAAATGTTTTAAGTATTTTCCTGGAATTCACCTTGAATTGATTTCTATTGGAGATAGGTATCCAATCTAATTTGCCTCATATGGATAACCACTTGTTCTATTACTGCTGTAACAAATTTCTACAAACTAAGTGACCTAAAATAACACAAACTTGTCATCTTACAGTGTACACAAGTCAGAAATCAGGCATGAATTTTAGTGAACTAAAATCAAGTTGTCGACAGGCATGTTTCTTTATGGTGGCTAGGGTAGAATCCATATCCTGGCCTTTTCTATCTTCTAGAGAACATCAGCATTCCTTTTCTCATTGCCTCTCCTCTCTCTTTTTAAAGCTGGCAATGTCACATTTCTCTGACCATTCTTTCATTGTCACATCTCTCTCTGGACTCAGCTAAGAAAGGTTCTCCATTTTTAAGAACTCATGTGATTAGACTGGGCCCATCTGGGTAACCCAGGAAGATCTCTCCATCTCGGTTTGCATCCTTAATCACATCTGATAAGCCTTTATTGCATTCAGTGTAACATATTCACAGGTTCCAGGGTTAGGCATGGGCATCTTTGAGGGCCATTATTCTCCCTACCACATTATTTGCCTAGCATCTTTCATTACATTGTCCATCTATTTACTTACTGATTTCTAATGACATCCAAATCAGTTACAACATTTTATGTAAGCATTGTTTTTATTTTTATGTTATTCCACTAGTCCATTTTTCTACTCATGAATTATGGTACATGAGTTTATTTTTGCAACTTTAAGCTCAATAACATGTTTTAAGATTTCCTCAACTTTCTTTTTGCGCTTCTTCAGAAGTTGACTCTTTTGGCCCTTTGGTCTTCTATACACATTTTAGAAATGCTTTGTTGAGGACTAAGAGGAATGCTAAGATTTTGATAGGAATTTCAATGAATTTTGAGTATATTGGCATGCTACAATGGTTAGTGCTTTATACATGAAAATAATATATCCCTTCCTCTTTTCCTAGTATCATGAGATGTTTGTTAGGCAGACATGAATATTGAGTTGTATCAAATGTGGTTTTCTGCATTATTGTGGTGGTGATGTGATTTAGCTCCTTTAATTAGTTAATGTAATGAATTACATTTGTAGATTGCTCTAACTATTGAAACAAGCTTGAATTTCTGGAATAAGCCCAATGTGATATTTATTCAACAAATATTCATTGAGTATACCTAGTATGTAACATGCTTTAAGAATACACCAGTGAACCAAACAGAAATATCTGACATTACAGAACTTAACATTCCAGTATTTGGAGACAGATGATAAAAAAGTGAACATGTATATTTACAGTTTGTCAAGGAATGATAAATGAAGACTCTTAAAGTAGATGGGGAATTGGGAGTGAAGTCTGTAATTTAAATAGGGTGGGCAGGAAAGCTTCACAGAGAATGGGACATTTAAGAATAGACTTGAAGGACAGGCAAGAGCAATCTCTATGTTTATATGGGAGAAAAGGTTCCAGGCAGATGCAGTAACAATGGCAAATATCCTGAAGTAGGATCATGCTGGAGTTTTTGTGGAGCAGCAAGGAGGCTAGTGTGACTGCCACAGAATCACCCAAGGGAAGATGAGAAGATCAGACCAGACCAGCACTTGGGCATCTAATGGGAAAAGTTTCTCAAGCCATCATAAAAATTTCACTTTTACTATAAATACTACGAGAAACCATGGGATGTTTTACAGTAAGAAAGGTGGCATAATATGTTACATGTTTTAAACAAACTCTATAGCTTCTGAGTTGAAATAGATTGTAGGGGCTCATGGCAGAAGCAGAGGGAACATTTAGGAGACTACTGTAAAGAATATCATGAAAAGAACAAACAACGCTATGTAACATGCTTAAATGGACTGAAGAAGATGTATAAAATCAAAATGATGTTACCTTCACACCTTGAATCAGTACGATAAACCCCCCTCCCCAATCACAAAAGAAAAACTAAACACAAAAACCAGGCTTTGGTTGCTCAGACAATTTTACAGGTGAGTTCTAGCAAACATGCAAAGAACGTTTAATTGCACTGTTACAGAAATTCTTCTGGAGACAAGAAAATAAGACACATCACCCAACCAATTTCATAATAACAATGTCAATGTATAATAACAGAAAAAGTGGATCTCCAAAGAAATAAATTTATTTGGAAATAAACAAGGATTATAATCTGAGATATTTGTGCTATGATCAATCATAGGTGCATCCCAAGAGGTTGAGGTAAGGAAAATATGTAAAGACAAAAAGAAGTCCATGCAAGCTGTTTTGAAACAAACATCATTGGTCACAGGGTCTGATGCAGGAGCTGGTGTTAACTTACTGGCAGAAACAGCCATTGCTAGGCAAGTGTTCTTGTGAGGGTGGCTTATCTGAAATGCTGCAGTCTTGAGGAATTTTTTATGATAGGTCCTATTATAAAACACCTACAGGATGAGCTGGACAAACAGAGTGTGCTGGGTGGGCAGAAATTTCTTGTGAGTTTATAGAAAGTCCTTGTGATAGTGCTTATCGTGGACAGACACACAAGATCCCCTTTTTCATGACCCGGCTCCACTTTGCTTTGGGTCTGATGTAAGTGACTTTGCCTTGTCATTGGCAACTTTCACTGTAGTATAATCTGCACATCAAAGTTACCTAACAATAGTACAAAGAAAGAAAATTAAAGGTATATCTCTTTCAAAAATATAAACCCCAAAATTGTTAGGAAATTGTAGTGAGTATAAAAGATAATTCATTATAATAAACATCTCAAGCTTCACAGAATTCTGACCTTTGCTACACTCTCATCCACAATCTTTTCTCCTAGTAAATGGCAGCTCCTTCTGTTAAGTTGCTGAGGCTTCTTATTGCTTTTTTCTTCAAATAACAGTCAGAACTGAACAACTGTAATCATCCTAGTCCATACAATTGTTATATTTTCATTTAAAGAAGATCAATGTGTGATTCTTTTTTTATATATTTCTGGACAATTCTTTATATTTTAATAGTAGTCAGAATTTGATCAGGAAAACAGAAGACATCCTATGTATTATAATGATAAAAGTTTAATATTAATTAGGGCCTTATGCTATTATTGGAAGAGCTTGGTGAATAGATATTAGAAAAGCAGCTAGACAAAATCAGAAGAGGTCTGTTTTATATCAGAGATCTTAGCCTGACAGTCTAGAGTGTGGGCACAGAACCCAAGCTTATAGGAATTTCTGAAAGGTCTGTAAATCTTATCCAGATGGACAGTGGGAGCTCATAAAGGATTCTGCAAGCCATCACATCTGTCAAACCTGCTATGTCTAATCCTTAAGCCTGCTTTATTTGAAGACCTCCTCTTCACTCCTCATTTCCAGCTCTCATGAGTTTCTTTCATAGGCAAACCCAGACCTGGAACAATGTGCCTGAAGACTTCGGGTGACACAGTACCCAGACTTAAATAGGAGGGGAGCCATGGTGGAAGTGGCCATCCAGCACAATTTTCTTGGTCTTTACTCATAGTTTTGATTCCTTAAAAAAATTAACCACATTAAAATATGTGTTTCATAATCTACATCTAATAATACAAATATTTAAAGTCTTTTCAAGTTTGAATACGCTACCCATGTTGCTGCTACCCCCATTTTGTGTGTGTGATTTTTGTGTGTGTGTTAGAAGCTCATGACCTTTGAAACCTGCTCTTATGAGCTTGCTTTGATGATTTATTTGTCCAGAGAGGATTTTTTTTCCTACCTAGCATTTTGGACTGCTATCAACCTGAGACCACTTTGAATTAAATTCTCAGCTTGCAAATTTGGAAGCCACACAGATTGTGTGAGTTCAGGCTGAAACCTGTTTGAGGCTGGATTCTGGCTATAAACTCCACAGGGAACATTTTCTCTCTCCACTCAGAGCTGAGACCATAGGGAAATTTATTTGCTAGCTCTCTTTGAAGGTTTATTTTATTTATTTTTTAAATTTCTAGTACACGTGCTCACTGAAGGTGTAATACTTATGTGAGAATCTCAAAATCAGTTGTGTTCTTTGTATGACCCTGGTTTTGTTTCCTCCTGCTCTCTTACTTTCAGTGTGTCTCAGTATGTCTGCTCAATATGTCATCTTAAATTTCAACTGAGGGTGGATCTTCTTCCCAGCTCACTCACATGGTTCTTAGCTAGATTCAGTTTCTCTCCATTTGTAGGACTGAGGACCTCAGTTCTTCACTTAGGGTTGGCTACAGGTAATCATCAATTTCTTGTAACAGGACTTACACTGGGCCACTGACAGCATGCCAGTTGGCTTCATTCAAATGAGAGGGCAAGAGAAAGAGAGAGAGGGAGAGGGCACAAGAAGAAATTCACAGTATCTTATAATCTAATCTCAGAAGTGGCATCTCATTTCTTTTGTTCTATTCTATTCAATAGAAACAAGTACCTGGGACCAGCTTACACTATAGGAAAGAGATTATATAAGGGTATAAATACCAAGAGGTAGAGATCATCAAGAGCCATTCTGGTAGCAGCCACAATATCTTATCCAGAATATTTCTTATTCAGGCCTTCAAATGTGCTGTCTTTTCTGGTCTAATGGAAATGAACCTTCCTTCCATACAATTTCTTCTCCTAAATTGTACTCTGGCTCTCTTATCATATACAAATGTCTATGTTAGGTATTTGTGTCTGTCTTGATTCTTGGTAGGCTTTTAAACTCTGTGAATGTTGGACTGTGATGTAGACATCATTTCACCGCACACTCTGTAACCACCAAACCTTAGCAGCTTATTCAGTAAGCACATACTTGGCTCTTAATGAGTATTGCTTAAATTGATGAATTGAATTAGTATTTTACCTTCTCTGTTGCTTAGCTAAGCAGAAGAATTTGTCATTTTTTTAATTTAGTGACTGGTTCTATTAAAAGTTACCTTTGTCTATATCATTTTGTTATACTAAAGCACAAATGTATAAGGTCAAAAAACATTCTCAAGATTTTGTTTAAACCACAGCCCTCAGTTGTGTATATTTATCTCTTGTTTTCATATGCAAGATTTCTCCTGAAATGGGCAACAATTACAAGAGTTTTTTTCCTCTTCTGAACTAAGAAAATAAATATTTAATTCACAAGTTTAGAAAAGTGAACCTGAAAAATCACAGGGCTAGGTGGGTTATGAGGCCCACTGGTACATGATAGTGTTGAATGTGGATTAGAATGAACTCCGTGGATTAGAATCTCAGACCATAGGCAAACATTTACTTGTTTTAGAATAAGCACATTTGAGTCTGCAATAAGTATTACTATTTTTAAGTTGAAAATGTAATTGGTTTCTAATAATAACCATATTGGCTAGCATTATTTCAATCGTGTTTAATGTTTTCCAATGTCATTTCATGTCAGATATCTCTCTTGATTCTTAGTAACAATTTGGACAAGACAGCAAATGCTATTGTCCAAGTTTTCTAAAGAAGAATCTGAAGTGAAATGACATCAAGAGACCTATCAAGACCTGTATCCAGGAAAAGGTAAATCTGAGCTGAAATTGTAGCCCTTGTAAATTACCTACGTGACATACCAGATAGTGTTCATGATCCATTCAGTACTCTGTTCTAAAAATGAGACAATATCCATTTATTCACTTGTTCATTTATTTAGTGCTTGTTCAGCCCTTACTGCATATTCCAGGCACTATTCTGACTGTGGCAGGAGTGAACAAACAGGCATGGTTCTTACTTGCATGTAATTACAGTCTTATAGTGAAAACAAGTGTTAAACAACAAAATCTCCCAATTATTTTAAAATTATAAACTTGATTCAATACTATGTGGCCATATAATTGTTCCTAATTTGGTTGGAGAAGGGAGGCAGTTAGGGAAGCCTTCCCTGAGTTAGTGCCATTTAACCTGAATTATGATAGACGATAAGTAATTTGTCAGGGGAAAAATACTCCAGGAATAAAGAACAGGTACAAAGGTCAGGTTCTGGGAAGAGCTTGTCTTGGTCCAGGAGCTAAAAAATGTTAGAGTGGCTGGATCTGGGAAAGAGACAAAGAGTTATTAAATGAGGCAGCAGGCTTCAGCAGGTGCCACATTGCTCAGGGCCTTGTAGGCCATGCTAAGGATTTGGGATGTTAATGTCAGTACAAACAATTGAGTCGTAAGCAGAAAGTAAAAGCATGATTCCATCAAATGTTATTCTCTAAACAGTAATTTTATAAATACAGGTTAAATGTGTGTGGTCCCAGCTACTCAGGAGGTCCCAGCTACTCAGTATTCCTTTTCAACAAATATTAGGTGCCTACTATTAGCCAGGTACAGCCCTTAGCTACTTTGAATGAAGCATATATTACAAACTGGCAGAATTTCTTAAACAAAGAATCTAAAGTTGTTTATACACCATAATCTCGGTATTTTATAAATTTCTTGAAATTATTTTTATGTACACTGCTTTGCAGAATTTTAACTGGCTTTGAAATAAACAATGACAATAGTCCTCCATGTTACTAGTTTCAAATTTTCCCAATACCTACTAAGACATTACTTAATCCACAGATTTACTGTCAATAGTTTGTATCAAATTGTGATAACATATTTGAAGTTAATATTTCAAATTAAAGCAAAATCACAAATTTATACTTTATATTATGAATGAGATTCACAAAAGGAGCATGATAATATATTCTGTTGTCATCACATACAAAATAATAACATATAGAGTATGAATCAATAATTTTTCAAATACAAAGCTATTACAATTAGGAATACAAAGAAATCATAATTAGGAATACTTCTACAATATTAACACACAATAGTGGTAACACTTGCAAAATGATGGTGGTGGTTTTTTTTTTTTTTTTTTCCCCGACAGAGTCTTGCTCTTGTTGCCCAGGCTGGAGTGCAATGGCGTGATTTTGGCTCACTGTAAACTCCACCTCCTGGGTTCAAGCGATTCTCCTGCCTCAGCCTCCCTAGTAGCTGGTATTACAGGTGCCTGCCACCACACCCAGCTAATTTTTGTATTTTTAGTAGAGATGGGGGTTTCACCATGTTGGCCAGCCTGGTCCCGAACTCCTGACCTTAGGTGATCCACCAGCATCGGCCTCCCAAAGTGCTGGGATTACAGGTGTGAGCCACTGCGTCCAGCCAGTGGTGGGTCTCATATCTCAATGTGGACTTTTACTAACTCCCGATGCCTCATTTTCCTCATCAGTTGAAAGGAATGAATGAAAGATTTGTGTTTTTCATATTACCAGGTAGATGATAAGAAGATTTTAATTTTCTTTTTTTTTTAACTTTTATTTTAAGTTTAGGGGCATTTGTTACATAGGTAGACTGGTGTCACAGGGGTTTATTGTACAGATTATTTCATCATCCAGGTATTAAACCTAGTACCCAATAGTTATCTTTTCTGCTTCTCTTCCTTTTCTCACCCTCCACCCTCAAGTAGACCCCAGTGTCTGTTTTATTCTTTGTGTTCATTAGTTCTCATCATTTAGCTCCCACTTATAACTGAGAGTATGCTGTATTTGGTTTTCTGTTCCTGCATTAGTTTGCTAAGGATAATAGAAGGTCCATCCACATTCCAGCAAAAGACATGATATCATTTTTTAATGGCGGCATAGTATTCCATGGTGTATATGTACAGCCTGCATATAAACTGTGGGCTAAAGACCTTCACCAGAGCAGTCTGACAGAACCTCTCTGAAAGACTTCTCCTAGGCTGTAATCCTCAGTCTCTTGTTCTCAGACCCCTAAATAAATCTAACTTTAATTTCTTAAAAGCTTAATTTTTTTCTTTAGTTGACACCAAAAATCTCCCCAGCCAGATCCACAAACTTTTTCGGTATTTTTCCTATTTTTTATATCATTCCAGGCAAGCGTTTTCTAACTCTCCCATCAGAATATGACTTTGGTGCCTTTTCCTCAGCCTCCACTGATGATTTTTTCTCATTATCCTTAAAGCCCTTTCCAGTAGACTTCTTAAGCTCTTTCAAGTTTTCAGTCTCCTTAAGGACCATTCAGTGTTTACTGTCAGTTCCCAGAATGCTTTTACAGGTTTTGCTATCATTTTCCTTGAAGTCTGTTCACTTTTCACTAACAGTCTTTGTGAAATCCTTCTGGCTTCTATCCATTGTCTGATTCCAAAGCCAATGCCACATAGTTTAAGTTTATATTATATTAGAGTGACATCTTATTCCACGTACCACAAACCACCTCAAAACTTAGCAGCTTAAAACAACAAACTTAAAAAAAATTGTGGACTTGTATTAGTGCAAGCAGGGCTTAGCTACATGATTCTGCTCCGTGTGGTATTAACTGTAGCCATCTGTGGTATTCAGCTGGCAGCTGGGTAGTCTGGAGAGTTGAAGGTGGCTTCAGTGATGTGCCTGTTTTATTAGTGGATTGGATGAAATGTTGTGGTAAGGTGGGCCTCTCTTGCTCTCCGTGTAGTTTGAGAGCCTGTCTACATGATCTATTCAGCAGCAATATGGTTTGGCTGTGTCCCCACCCAAATCTCATCTTGAATTGTAGCTCCCATAATTTCCGTGTCTTGTGGGAGGGATCCAACGGGAGATAACTGAATCACAGGAGTATTTCCCCCACACTGTTCTCGTGGTCTTGAATAAGTCTCACAAGAGCTGATGATTTTATAAGGGGGTTCCCCTTTCACTCAGCTCTCATTCTGTCTTGTCTGCCATCATGTAGAGATGTGCCTTTTGCCTTCCACCATGATTGTGAGGCCTCCCCATCCACCTGGAAATGTGAGTCCATTAAGTGTCTTTTTCTTTATAAATCACTCAGTCTCAGGTATGTCTTTATCAGCAGCATGAAAACAGACTAATACAGTACATTGGTACTGGTAGAGTGGGGTGCTGTTGTAAAGATAACCCAAAAATGTGGAAGCGACTTTGGAACTGGGTAACAGGCAGGGGTTGAAACAGTTTGGAGGGCTCAGAAAACGACAGGAAAATGTGGGAAAGTTTGGAACTTCCTAGAGACTTGTTGAATGGCTTTGACTAAAATGTCAAATAATGATATAGACAATGAAATCCAGGCTGAGATGGTCTCAGATGGAGATGAGGAACTCACTGGGAACTGCAGTAAAGGTGTCTCTTGCTATCGAGAGAGACTGGCAGCATTTTGTCCCTGCCCTAGAGATTTGTGGAACTTTGAACTTGAGGGAGATGAGTTAGGGTATCTGGCAGAAGAAATTTCTAAGCAGCAAAGCATTCAAGAGTGACTTGGGTGTGTTAAAAGCACTCAGTTTTAACAGGAAAACAGAGCATAAACGTTCAGAAAATTTGTAGCATGACACTGTGATAGAAAAGAAAAATCCATTTTCTGAGGAGAAATTCAAGCTGGCTGCAGAAATTTGCATAAGTAACAAGGAGCCAAATGTTAATCGCTAAGTCTTCAGGCCATGTCAGAGATCTTTGTGGCAGCCCCTTCCATCACACACCCAGAGGCCTAGGAGGAAAAAATGGTTTCATAGGCTGGGCCCAGGGCCCCTCTGCTGTTTGCCTGTGTACAGCCTAGGGACTTGGTGCTCTGTGTCCCAGCTGCTCCAGCCACAGCTAAAAGGGGTCAAGGCACAGCTCAGGCCATGGCTTCAGAGGGTGCAAGCCTCAAGCTTTGGCAGCTTCCATGTGGTGTTGAGCCTGTGGATTCACGGAAGTCCAGAATCGAGGTATGGGAACCTCCACCTAGATTTCAGAGAATGTATGGAAATGCCTGGATCTCCAGACAGAAGTTTGCTGCAGGGGTGGTCTTCATGGAGAACCTCTGCTAAGGCAGTGGGGAATGGAAATGTGGGGTTGAAGCCCCCAACACAGAGTCCCCACTAGGGTACTGCCTAGTGGAGCTATGAGAAGAGGGCTGCTGTCCTCCAGACCCCGGAATGGTAGATCCACCGACAGCTTGCACTGTGTGCCTGGAAAAGCTGCATACAATGCCAGCCTGTGAAAGCAACCGGGAGGAAGGCTCTCCCCTGCAAAACCACAGGGGTGGAGCTGCCTGAGACCATGGGAACCCACCACTTGCATGAGTATGACCTGGATGTGAGACATAGAGTCAAAGGAGATCATTTTGGAGCTTTAAGATTTGACTGTCCCACTGGATTTCGGACTTGCTTGGAGCTTTTAGTCCCTTTGTTTTGGGTAAATTTTACCATTTGGAACGGCTGCATTTACCCAATGCCTGTACTCCTATCTTATCTAGAAAATAACTAAATTGCTTTTGATTTTACAGGTTTATATGTGGAAGAGACTTGCCCTGTCTCAGGTGAGACTTTGGACTGCCAACTTTTGAGTTAATGCTGAAGTGAGTTAAGACTTTTGGGGACTATTGGGAAGGCATGATTGGTTTTGAAATGTGAGGACATGAGATTTGGGAGGTGCCAGAGGCAGAATGAGGTGGTTTGGCTGTGTCCTTTCCCAAATCTCATCTTGAATTGTAGCTCCCATAATTCCCATGTGTTGTGGAGGGACCTGGTGAGAGATAATTGAATGATGGGGTGGCTCCCCCATACTGTTCTTATGGTCGTGAATAAGTCTCATGAGAGCTGATGACTTTACAAGGGGCTTCCCCTTTCACTCAGCTCTCATTGTCTCTTGTCTGCTCCCATGTAATGCATACTTTTCACCTTCTGCCATGATTGTGAGGCCTCCCCATCCACATGGAACTGTGATTCCATGAAACTCTTTTTATTCATAAATTACCCGGTCTTGGATATGTCTTTATCAGCAGCATGAAAATGGACTAATGCAAGCAGAATAAGCAGAATTCTTCGATACTGACTCAGCACCCCACACACGTTGGTTCCAAGATGTAGAAATGGAAGCTTCAAGGCTTTTAACATCTGGACATCAAAACTGGAAGTTTTACTTTCACTGTATTTTATTGGTCAAAGCAGTCAAAGAGCCCACCCAGGTTCAAGGAGAAAGAATATGTCCCCACGTTTTCAACAGGATGGTGCCACAAAATTTCTAGTCATCTTAATTCACCACAGATAGAAATATGAAGAGCTCATTTGTTATGTTATTTGTGAATGCAGACTAAAGGTATTTGTTGGTTTATATAGTAGTGGGAAAATGAGAACTTTTAAAATATTCAACTTTTAGCCCTTGACATGCAAAATGAGTTCATTACATGGTAAGGATGAGGGAGAAAGAAAAGATCTGAAAAAGTAGAAGAGTGATGGATTCAGAAAGCATAGGATGATTGTCAGTGTGATTGTTTTATCTAGCCACATATAGCTGTGTGGTATCAAGATGTAGAAGGCAGAGAGTAGGATTTATCAGGATTGTTGTTTGGAAGAGTGAGTACAATCATTACGAGGGAGCAAGGTATTGATCATGGAATATAAAGTGGGAAAAGAGGTAAGGTAAGAAGGATATCAGTAAAGTGAATGACAGCATAAATATGGTAGAACCATTGGATTGGTGGCTCTGGAGGAATTGAATAATTATTAGACTTGAAGCATTAGATGGTGCACTAGTGAGGGCATCTCCAACTAAGTCTACCATCAAGTCATGGTGATTTATTATCTCAAATATATGACAAATTTATCTACTTATTTCCAAAACTCCCATATCTAGTTTAAGTAATCAAATTTCTTGCCTTGGCAAGCATGTTGCTTTGTAATTGACTCACCTGTATCCAATTTGAATTCCTTAAAATCCATTCTATACATTGTAACCATAGTGATATTTGCAAATGTGAAATCTGGTCAAATCATTCTTCTGCTTAGTAGTCTTGGATTTCTCATTCTCTTAGGAAGCATCTTCCACTACTTATTTCAGCATTATCTGCACAATGCTTCCCCTCACTTCCTCACAATGTGGTTTCAGGCACAACTCCCAAGGCCCCACTCTGGCCTCGCGGAGCAGATTGTTCCCCCTGCAGGAAAACCTTTGTTCTCCACTCAGTTAACTGCTGTTTACCCTTTAGATCTCAGCTCCAGTGTTGCTTTCTTAGGGGAAACTTCTCTGACTCACATCAAATCCCTCTCTTATAGTAATTTTCATTGTATTTCAGAGTAATTTTTATGGTTGCAATTTTACATTTGTGTGATTGTTTGATTAATCTCTGTCTCCTCCACGAAAACTCCAAGATGCAGGAACTATATCTTACTGGCATTCAGCACAATACCTGGCACATAGGTGTTCAAAAAATACTAATAGGGTAAATAAATGAATTAATTTTATGCTTTTATTTTAATATTTTCATGGTATTAATATTTCTCTCTATGTGATATTTTGTATGTACCTATTTTCTTTTAATTTGAAGATTTATAGTTTAGTTATGTGCTGTATAAATTATATTTAGTTCTTTAATTTTTGTGTTATTTCCAAGGGCGCTCTCCATTGACTCTTTTAATATAGTTCCACTTTACCCCTTAAACCCACTTTCCTCTCCCACCTTCGTCATCCAACTTTATTTGATTTTGTTATTTTTAATTTTTCTAAGAATGACCTTTATCTTTTAAAATAATATTTAATCACCCATAACATAATTTGTTGATTCTCTCCCACTGTGAAAGTTGAATGGACCAGAATATATTTCTACTATCTTTCTCTTCTTATTTTTGTTATGAATATAATTAGTCCTTATACAGTTATGGTTTGTAACATTTACATTCTGTTCTTTAACCGCAAACCCCAGAACATTTTGATATTAGGCTTCAGAATGCTCACTTGTATCATGTTATCTCTATTCATTTTTAGTGGATAGTTTTCTTTTTTAAGTTTTTCTGATAGAGATGGGGTCTTGCTATGTTGCCCAGGCTGGTCTTATCTTGAACTCCTGGGCTCAAGTGATTCTCCTGCCTTGGCCTTTCAAAGTGTTGGGACTGTAGGTGTTAGCCCCTGCGCCTGGCCTCTAATAGTTGTCTTCATTAAAGCCTCATGGGGACTCTATTTTTTTTTTTTTTTTTTGTGGGTTGTTTATTTTGTGTTTGTGAAGTCCGGTAAATTCAGTTGCATCTGCCTTGATGTGGTCATACTATAACATATTTTTTCTGGATAAAGATAAGCCCTTTAACCATTAGATTCAATGTTTTCTTCATTTCAGAAAAGTTTTCTTTTATCTTTGAATTTTTTAACCAGATATTGTGAGCTCTTTCACACTAATTTCTCATTTGTTGGACCTGACTTTAATGTTACATTTCACCTTCTTGTGTTTTCTATTTTGTTTTGCTCAGGATATATTTAAGCCTGTCATTTATATTCTTATCTGTGTTTTTAGCAGCATTATTCTCTCCACTTCCCACTTTTTTTCCTGCTTTTATTGATCTTCATTTCTTTCATGGTTGTCTTTACTCATTACATCCTGAATTTTGCCAGATTATTTTTTATCACTTTATTTTGTATTTATTTTCAATTATGTCTTCTAAATATCATTTCAGAGAGAAAACATTTTAGAGAAGGCATATTTTTAAAAAACATAGAAAATTTGATCCTATTTTTTACTGCTTCATGGTATAATTTGTATGTTCTGTACCTTATGTAATTTTCCCTTTTTCTTCTAGTATTTTTATAAAGGTCATCATGTTTTATTTTTGTAATACAATTATTATAAATAATTATATAATATTATTAGTCTTTGAATATTCTAGATACTTGTGTAAGGATATTGTGGAGGAGGAGCTGGGGGTAGTAAGTATGATGGAAGGCAGACGAGTTTGGAATCTTGTCTCCAAAACACTCTCATCTGTTAGAATGACTCCTAGGCTATAGGATTGACTATGGCTTAGAGTGGATTCATAGTTGTTAATTTCATCATGTGACTTGTGACTTATCCTTTTCTTTTCATAATAGAATGAAAATTGCCATCTGTCTGGCTTCTTCCCCATCTTTTTGCCTTCTTTCATTACACCACACACGTGTCCTAATTATTCCAAAGGTGATACATTTGCATGTTTCCCTTTAAACTCCTTTCCCTCTGTCACTCTGTGGAGGGTTCACATGCTGCAATATTTCTGTTCCAAGTAAAGATCACAGGTTTTGATCCTCAGTCCTCAGTATACACACCTCTTTTAGGGATTTCTGGGCTTCTTGACTAGCTCAAGCTCTTCAGAGGCATGCACTTTATCTTGGTGTTCAGTCTTGACTGGTTTAAACTTTTGATGTCCAGAAGGTTTTCTTCATGTGTTGTTGTGTGGAATTGTAAATATTTTCTAGCTTTTGTAAGGTTGTGGCTCATATTTATATTTCTCCTGGTTTGAAAGAAGAGAGAGAAAGAAGTATGTCAAATTGAGACTCTTAGATTGGAAATCTGAATTTATTTACACGATTGAGATTGATCTAGAGTTTTATTTTTTCTGCTGTAACTGAAATTTGGATTCAAGATTATATGTGTTTTGTGAATATGTTTGGTAACATTGTGACTTTTCTATAATTTAGGGAAGTTTGATGTAGGAGGAAGAGAAAAAATTTTTGAGAGAATCCTAAATTCATATATGGCTTAACCTTTTAATATCTATGTAATTTTAGATAATAAATAATTTGTTTGAGATTATGTGGCTCTAACAACACCTGCTTCACAGTGTAATTATGAGGATTTCATAGAATTTGTATAGTGAGCATTAGTTTTGATGTTACTTTAAACCTCTTTGCCTTATACATTCTGTTTTTTCCATGGAATATTATATGATTTCATGTCCACATATTAATCTCATACTTTCAATTACATTTTATGTTTAAATTGAATATTATGGTAATCGTTATGTAAATGATTAAAAATTTAAAGGGACAACATTTAATGTTGCTCTGGAATTCACCTTTAGTCATAAAATAAAGATGTAAAGTATCATCTGTAGACAATGGCAAAAGGCCTTTTTTGTCATAAGAAAATCAAATATGCTTTATTTCACCCAATTAACAGTTTCTGGGCTTGGCTATCCCGGGAAAACCAAAATGACCATAGGCGGTAATTCCCCAGGCCGTGTGATCTCAGTCTGGCATTCTCAGATCTCCAAGGCATCACTTTGGCCACTACCCTCTGGGGCTGTGATTAGCAGCTCTCTTCCTGTTTTATGCAGCTCTGTGTGTATGTCTGCAGTGATGCCGTACTGGATCTGGTTCATCTTGTGAGAACTATACCTATCTGAATTTTTGATGATGCTCTTTTCTTAGTTCCCTTGGCAAAACAGGTAGGTGAGGGATAGAAATAAAATCTATACTTAGTAAATCGGTGAGCCAAGGTCTGTGACTGGCAATGAGTGAATTACATTCTCCTCAGTTGGGTGCAATGTCTGCCTTCTGTGTGGCCATTTGCTGTTGCCACTAGAGAAGGAGGATGCAGCAGGGATCAGGCACCGTGGAGAAAAGTCGCCGTGTGTAGGCAGCTAAGAATGTAGGAAAATGAACATCTCGGCTCCCAAAGGACGAGAATAAAGCTGTAGAAGAATGTCAGGGAGGAATCTGAGTTGATCGTATGACTATTCATCCTTCTTCCCACATTTTCCCGACTGTTTAGCCCTACTTTTCTTCGCGTTGGGTCTCATTTTCCTTCCTGTGTGGCCTGTGCCTTATGGTCAGCGCGGACGTCCATCAGTCTATCAAATGCCTAGAAACCTTTCGCCCTTTGTCACCTTCTGTGTCACCCAGCATTCCCCTTCTCAGCCCTTTTCATTCTCATGGTGGAATCCTTTTGGTTTGATTTCAAGGGTCCAGCACTGTTGATGTCACAACAGAGTGGCATGGAAAGTTTCTGAAAATTTTGTCATCTAACCTCTCGTGGGGACTTTTAATTAATTCAGCTTTTGACAACTCCATCACATTCATTATATTATCCATTCATTCATTCATTAATACATTTGACATTTATAATGTGTGCCAACAATGTGCCAGGTCAAAACTGCCCACTTACAATGTAGAACATTTCTGTAAATTTTATTTCAATTTTCTTGTATTTCTTCTCCTTTATTCTACCATCCCACTTGATCTTCTGCCACAGAAGTTCTCTTCTCTCTCTCTTTGTTCTCTCTTCTCCTCCTTTATTCTTGATACCTGCTTCTGTGTTGTCTCCTCTAGGCCAGCACTTGTCCTCCTACCTCTGTGATGTTCTGTCTAGTTTATTGATTCCTTTTCCTACTTTACATAATCAATGTGGATAGTTTCTATAGTTGGGTCTTGGCTTTTTAATCTTTTTTTCCTGTGTATTATTTCCTTCAGGGACCTTATGCACTCTTACACATCCGTCTATTATTTTTATATGGATTACTATACAATTACATGTTGAATTTGTACTTTTCCCCCATATATCCTGTCATATGTTTTCACCTGAGCATCTCAATATCTAATACTCTTATTTGCTTAAAATACACGTGATTATTTTCTCCACCCTGACATATTTTATGTTCAACTTTCTAATTTCTAAAAATGGACCTACCATTGTCCTATTTATTCTTGCTTAAATCTTGATATTTTCTTTGAGTTCATGCTCCTTCGTATTCACTCCAGCTGTGATAAGTCACCAATCCTTTGGGTTTTTACTTACCAGTATATCTATTTCTGTTTCTATAGCCTTAAAGCTGGAACTGTGTAGTCCCAGTTCCTCTGTGTAGCCCCCCAAGTCTGCTCTATTTCAATCTTCTCTTAAGGGAACTCCTTCCCTCCGTTTTTCTTTTCCTCCATTTGATACATCGCACTTATAGATGGGGCATCTTCCCTAATTACTGGCTTCATCCTCAATTCCCGGGACCCATACCTTCACTGGCTCCCTAAATTTATTTAATAATTCTCATATACCTTTGAGAAGTTTCTAATGATAGGCAACAAATGAATATTGACTACCTTTCTTATTTTCCTTTCTTCACCAAAATGATTTTTAGGATGTAGACAATCTGTATGCTTCAACATACACCAAACTTACCATTTTTGAAATATTTTGCAATCTACTTGAAAAGACTTCTTTAGACCCTATATTCATGTATTGTAATATTTATCCTCTTTTATGGCTATACTCAAATGCCACATCACTATAGTGCCTTCCCTCATCACTGTAGCTATCTCTTTTCACTCTACTTATATTGTAGAGGATTTGTTACACTTCTTAAACTGCTGATCTCAAGCGATTTGCTTGCTTTGACCTCCCAAAGTGCTGGGCTGACAGGCGTGAGCCACTGCACATGGCCTGATTTGTTCCACTTCTACTATATGCATCACACATGCCTGATGCATATTTTAATGCACGTTGGATAAGGATCGGCTTTGTACGACTTCAGTCTTTCTTGATGTGTGACACCCACTTCTATTTTGGCTCCACTTTAACAAAATGAATAAGTGAGAAGGTAATACTGGAAACAGAACATAACTGTGACTAGGAATTTGGTCTTGACTCGCCATTTAATTTTCTGATGTGCATGACTGTTTTCTTCACATGTGAAATTTAACATGAGGTTGAAACTGGAGAATTTTATATTTTTCATGAAAAAGGCAATTTGGGAGAAAAGTCCATTTTCCTGAGGATAACGTATTGTATGGTTTGACTGCTTTGCCTTGGCTGGTCAACACATTTGTACACCTGGATAGGCACAGTTTTCAGAAATCCTTTCAAGCATCTACCAATTCTCCTGTCTACAAGTTTACCTTCCTCCCATTTCTCATTCCTAATGACAAGGGAAATATCCAGTGTTATCTGAAGTGGTCATAAAAGACATTTTTTTTTCTTTTTATGTGAGGAATTGAAACTTATGGCTTTAGATTATGGGGCTTACCATCAAGGAAAGGGCGTAGCGTGGTCAGAGGACAAAACTTCTTCCTGCATTTCTCAGGAAGTCTTTGATTAGTGTGTCCACCTAGGAGCAATTTTTTTTTGGGGGGGGTGCTGGGAAATATACTTAAGTGATTAAATCCAAGTGTAGACATGAGAGGTTTACCTAAAGCCAGGTCTAATTACCATACCTGAGAATCAGGGAGTATTTAAAATTTGAGAAATAATTTTCTATACTTGAAAGTCACTTATGTAGGTAGGCCTCAGATTATAATAAATAACGTTTATTGTGCTATACTATGTGGTAGGTATGAGGTTAAGTATTTTTACCTATATTATATCACTTATTTCTTACAAATGGAGCAAGGGAGCAAGCAAGCAAGGGAGGTATTATTATCCCTATTTTATGTATTTATGTATTTATTTTTGATTTCTATTCTTTTGGTTTTTTTGTTGTTTTTTATTGATGTATCATAGTTGTACATGTTTTGGGGTACATGTGATATTTTTGATACATGTATACAATGTGTAATGATCAAATCAGAGTAATTTGGATATTCATCACCTCGAATATTTATCTTTTCTTTGTGTTGGGAACATTATAATTTTTCTCTGCTAGCTATTTTAGAATATATAATAAATTATTGTTCCCTATGATTTCTCCATTGTACAATTGAATACTAAAATTTATTATGTCTATCTACATATCCCCAGTTCAATAACTATAATTTCTCTGCTGTGCAATCAAATACTAGAACTTCTTCCTTCGAACGCTATATCCCTAATTCAATAACAAGTAAACTGAAGCTCAGCATGGTCTAGGAACTTTGTTACGTTAACACAGCAAGTGAGTGTTGCAGCCTGGATCCAAAAATCAGGCCTGGTAGACCTCAAAGTCCAGATTATTGACCTTTCTACCATAATGTATGGAGGTAAGTTTGTGAATTTATTCAAAAATCAGGCCTGGTCAACCTCAAAGTCCAAATTATTAACCTTTCTACCATAATGTATGGAGCTAAGTTTGTGAATTTTCATAGTTTTAGGATTTGAAGATAAAAGAGGTGAAAATTTGGAAATGGTTTCTGGACTTTGAATTTTGGCAAACAGCTATGTGATAAGTCCACCCTGCAGACCCACAACTTTTGGAAATAACTCTACTGTGACCTTCAGTAGCAGAAGCTGCTCCTGGGGTGGTAGAACACAAGGAAAACACACACTAGTAAAAATTTCATGTGCCTTCTTTGTTCTGTACATGTGTTTCTCTTGATTAGTATATGGTAGTATCCTCAAATCATAGTAACAAGTATACTTTTTCCAGTGAATTGCATGTGTATATTATTGTATAGTATAAAAGGCAATATTTCCATTTATTATCATCTGTGCTTTTCAAAGAAACTCTGTGAGTCCAAAAGGGCGATAATAGAAGCAACTGCCCTTTCTCTCCCCCGTTAAATGCAACCCAATGTCAAAGTCCGTAGCATCCCCAAATGAGTGTGTTAAAGGTGAGAAATTCCCAGAGTCAAACTCAGTAGCATCCTTGAATGAGTGTATTAAAGGTGATAAATTTATTTTATTTATGTTCTTTTTAACCTGTGTTCTCAGAAACAGAGACTACTGTATTTCATCCTACCTTAGTCTTGCTTAGCAGTTTCTCTTCTCCTTTGAGGCTCTTTTATTTTTAAATCATTGTTCATATCTTCTAATTTCCCCTTTCTCCCATTCTTTCCATATTTTTAATCTTTTTTTAACTTTATCTCTGTTCTGCTTTTTCTGTATTTCAAATTGATCCATAGACTTTAGAAAAATGAGTTGAATGCTGGCTGTAGGCTGTCTTATCCCCAGCAAGAAACATGTTGTAAAGTCTTAGTACCTTCCCACTGGAAGATCATTAGTCATGGCTACTATGTTTTTAAATGAGAATTGTTTTAATTATGCATTTTAAAATTATTGGAAAACATGAGGGAGAGGAATGAACCATAAGTAATAAAGATTATTGACTTGAAGTTAAGACCTTACTATGATCTGGGATTATTAGTCTTACTTGTCAATCAAGAACTATCCACTTTCTATTTGTTTGTGGGTATCTAATATGGTTATATACACAGAAGTAATGATAATTGATATGAAAAGGTCTCCTCCTGTTATATCAATTTAGGTATTTTTCACACATTGTGTACCTCATTCTTCTCCTATTCAATTTTCACTAATTCCTAAAGGGTCAGGTCAATGTCCTTGGCATAACCTCCTCCACCTGTTCTTAATGGCAATTGTATCTTCTGCCCTCCAATATCTATAACACTTTTTTCTTTAAAACTCTTTGAATGTTTATCTTAATACTCATTTGATATATATTGTATACCACATATGATTGTTTGTTATATGTACAATACATGTTTTTTCAACTTTTTTTGGTTCTTTCCATTTACAGGAATTAGAGAAAGAACTAATCAGTGTGAAGGAGAATTGTCAGTAAAATTACAAGAAAAGATTGAGATCATAATTGACCTTTGAGGATAATAAAATTTAAAGACCAAAAGGATGGACTTCACAGAAACATGACCTTAGGTTGTTTTTGCAGTTGTAGTAACTGGTTATATGACCAACAAAATATGAAGAATGGGTAAACAAATTCTGATAGTAATGATCAGTCACTTTGCAAATATAAAGTTACTATTTACTACTGTATTGTACAGGTTCAATAATCTTTGTGTACACATTTTATGTATTTATTGTCAGGCTGCTATATAATTCAGTATTTATAATAGATACTATGTATAGCAATCTATGGTTAGTTTTGGTCTTAACCAGGAAAAATCACTCTTTTGAGTTTTGCTGTTTTTACCAGATTATTTTTACTGGATGATTGCTCATATTATTTGATTATTATTGCAATTTGTCTTTCTGGAATAGGAAGCAAGAGGCCTGAATTCTGGTTCCTATTCTATCAATTGTGTGAATTCTGGAAACTCAGTTTACTTTTCTGGGCCTCATGGTTTTCATCTGAATGATGACCAACTTGGATAAAATGGTCTTTATATAATTCCATAGGCATTTCCCTTCCCAAGGGCTTGAGTCTTTTTCAACAATTATAGAGTTTTCCGGTCCCTCTTCCCAGTGCCTCAGCACCTTGCTATTCATGTTCATCTGATCAGTTGTTTGCATGCTGACTTACATTACCCTGATGGGCAGTACCTGTGGCTGTTTCTGCTCCCTCACCCAGTCCATAGGCTTCTGGTTGTAAAAAGTGTGCATCTTGAGACTGTGGACAGTTAGCTCCAGAGGTGACAGTATAATCACTTCACGTAGAAGAGGATAGAGAGAGACTCATGCCAGTGGTGGTGAGCAAGTATTAGAGATATGATGTGTGCCTCTGTGAGTTTTGGGGTCTAAGATAAATTATGGCACTAGGAAGATGGTCCTTTGTGTCAGAAGAACTGGAGTTGTTGGTGCAAAAAAGTATGATGTCAGCATAGCAGTTTTATTTGTACCTCAGCAACTTCTAAAATAATCTCTATTAAGTGTTTTCAGGAACTACTTTCTACTATAGGAAAATGATTGAGGTGAGTATCCATCTGGACACAGAGAAATATAACACTGTTTTCTGCTCACCCTCCACTTCACATATAAATACAATATGTGTTAAAGGACTAAATTTCTAGTGTCACAGTTTGTACTTTATAGTTTGAAGTCAATAAGAAAGCTCATATACCTTCCTAAAAGTCACTTGTTAATGTTTGATATTAATCTAATTTTATCATAAATTAAAAGTATAAAACTACAAATTTCTTAAAGATAAAATATCCGAATGGATTCAGTCAAATTAAGCATGATAATATCAAATATCAGAATAGGTTACCATGCAGGAGGTACTGAGTACTTAAAAGGGTGGGGAATGCAATGAACATAAAAGCTGGTACCAAGGGGAGGAGGAGACAGTGATGAATTAAAACATTATCTTAACTAATCCAAGTGCTGGTCTTCAATACTTTCATGTGTATAGACAAAGAGAAACTGCAGAGATTTCTCACAACCTCTGTGTCCATTTTATGCATGTATCTTAGCAGAAACACTGGTGAAATCCCTCCAAAACATATTTATTAGGCATGGAAAAAGCCTTACATGACAGGTGGCATAGGCTCCTTATGAAATCATTGCAGGATGGGAAGCCATTTAGGGCTTCATAATTGTGAAAGATTGTATAGAAACTGAGGCACTTAAATAGCAGTAAGCATGAGAAAATGTGGTAGATAATGGTGGTGATTCTATTTCTTGTGAAAGTCCACTTACTCTAGTCTGCTACAGTTGTGGGCTTTCCGATTTCACATACCCCAGTCTCTATATTCTCTCAATCCACAGCCTACCTCAACTAAGTCCGTCCCAGGCACCTCTTACTGCAGTGATAATCCATCTGTTAATCATGTTTTCCTCTTATGTCTACTTTCTGTCAGAGAATTGTGGGTGCAAACTGGGAAGGGAAGGAAATTATAAGAATATGTATAAGTACAAATGGAATATGTTGGAAATGAGGAATAGTTAATATCACAGGTCATTTAAACACCTGATGAATTTCATGGATAGTCAGGAATCTTGTTCTTACCTAATCTGTTAATTTTAGATCAGACATTACACTGAAAGTATTGATGATGGGTTTAAATCAGGTTGCAGCTCACATGTTGTGATAATATTATGTTGATTTTTTGTTTTTAATATGTGAGGAACAGAATAACTGTATACTATTTATTCATAGTGACATTGCAATATTGATTTTAGTACATATTATTATCTTCATAATCACAATTTCCTCCCCATTTTCTTAGTTCTCATAATTTTAGCCACAGCCCAGTTGGCTGGACCAATGGATGGAGAGAATCACTCAGTGGTATCTGAGTTTTTGTTTCTGGGACTCACTCATTCATGGGAGATCCAGCTCCTCCTCCTAGTGTTTTCCTCTGTGCTCTATGTGGCAAGCATTACTGGAAACATCCTCATTGTGTTTTCTGTGACCACTGACCCTCACTTACACTCCCCCATGTACTTTCTACTGGCCAGTCTCTCCTTCATTGACTTAGGAGCCTGCTCTGTCACTTCTCCCAAGATGATTTATGACCTGTTCAGAAAGCGCAAAGTCATCTCCTTTGGAGGCTGCATCGCTCAAATCTTCTTCATCCACGTCGTTGGTGGTGTGGAGATGGTGCTGCTCATAGCCATGGCCTTTGACAGATATGTGGCCCTATGTAAGCCCCTCCACTATCTGACCATTATGAGCCCAAGAATGTGCCTTTCATTTCTGGCTGTTGCCTGGACCCTTGGTGTCAGTCACTCCCTGTTCCAACTGGCATTTCTTGTTAATTTAGCCTTCTGTGGCCCTAATGTGTTGGACAGCTTCTACTGTGACCTTCCTCGGCTTCTCAGACTAGCCTGTACCGACACCTACAGATTGCAGTTCATGGTCACTGTTAACAGTGGGTTTATCTGTGTGGGTACTTTCTTCATACTTCTAATCTCCTACGTCTTCATCCTGTTTACTGTTTGGAAACATTCCTCAGGTGGTTCATCCAAGGCCCTTTCCACTCTTTCAGCTCACAGCACAGTGGTCCTTTTGTTCTTTGGTCCACCCATGTTTGTGTATACACGGCCACACCCTAATTCACAGATGGACAAGTTTCTGGCTATTTTTGATGCAGTTCTCACTCCTTTTCTGAATCCAGTTGTCTATACATTCAGGAATAAGGAGATGAAGGCAGCAATAAAGAGAGTATGCAAACAGCTAGTGATTTACAAGAGGATCTCATAAATGATATAATAAGCCCTTCTCATTAAACATGATATGGCTTTATGTTTCTTTCTTTGATATTTTAGATTCAGGAACTATGAGACATTATGTATTGATTTGAATGTTATTAGACCTGTAACATAATTCTTATCTGATGAATATATGATGAATATATTCCTTGTTCAAAATGAGTCATAAATTCAACACATCTCTACATCTATATTATGCCCATTTAATTTCTTTCAGCAATGTTTTGTAGTTTTTGGTGAACAGGTACTTTATGCATATGTACTTTATATTTATCTCTAAGTTTTATATTTCTGATGCCCTTTTAAGTGACATTTTTATTTCAATTTACAATTGTTTATTCTTAGCTTATGGGCACATAATAGATCTTTGTTTGACATTATATCCTGTAAACTTGCAAAACTTATAAGTTCCATCAGTTTTTTATAGGTTATGTAGGATTTTCTTTATAGATGATTATGTTGTCAGTGAATAAAGACATTTGCTTTTAAAATTCTAGTATGAATTCACTATATTCATTTTGTTGAATGCTGAGTAGAATTAGTTAGAGTAGACATCTTTGACTTGTTCCTGTTATGAAATATATTAAATATTTCATCATTAAGTATAATGTTAGCTATAATTTTTTTCATAGGTACTCTTTAACAGGCTGAGAAAGTTTTCTGTATTCACAGTTTGCTGAAAATTTCTTTTATCTTTAGTCAGGAATGGATCTTGGATTTTGTAAAGCTTTTTCGTTTCAGAATCAGGGTAATGCTGGCCCTTTAGAATGAGTTGGGAAGCATCTGCTCTTCTTAAATTTTCTGCCATAATTTTGTAGAATTCATATAATTTTTTTCTTTAAAAAGGGAAGTACTTAAGTATTTTTTCCCATAAGTTACCCATAAGTAAATCTAAAGGAAAGTGGGAAACTTTGATACGCATTGGTTGCCCCCTGGTGGAGATTTCTGGGTTCTTGATTATTTTAACACTGGAGATAGAATCTGGTGGAATGACGTCAATGCTACCGTGATTAAGAGGTGTGTAGGAAATGCTTCATGTAAAAGAGAAAATAGTCTTTATGAGAATCTGCCTGGTGGAAAGGAGTTGGTGCAACAATAACAATATAAATTAGTGAAAAATTTTAAATTGACAAATAATAATTGTATCTATTTATGGGGTACAATGTAATGTTTTGATACATGTTTAAATTGTGGAAAGATTAGGTCTATCTTATTGACATACATATCTTTTTTGTGGTGAAAACATTTAAAATCTACTCTGTTAGTCATTTTGAAACATACAATACCTTGTTATTTATTACAGTCACCATTCTGTGCAATAGTTCACTGAAACTTTGTCTAACTGAAACTTTGAACCCTTTTATCAACATCTACCTTTTCCATGTCTACCCCCAACTACTAGCCTCTGATAATCACCATTCCATTCTCTACTTCTATGAATTCAACTTTTTTAGATTCCACATATCAGTGAGATCATGTGATATTTGTCTTTTCGTGCCTGGCTTATTTCACTTAGCGTGATATCTTCTGGGTTAATTCATGTTGTCACATATATCAGGTTTTCCTTCCTATTAAGGCTGAGTAGTATTCCATTGTATATATACACTACATTTTCTTCATCCATTTGTCAGTTGATAGACACCTGTGTTGATTTCATATTTGGGTATTGTGAATAATGCTGCAATGAACATGAGCCTGGAGATATCTCTTCAGCATATTGACTTAAATTCCTTTGGATATATACAAGGAAGTGGGATTGCTGGATCATATAGTAATTCTAGTTTTAGTTTTTTGAGTAACTTTTATCTATTTTTCATAATAGTATTAATTTACATTTCCACCAACAGTGTACGAGGGTTCCCTTTTCTCTGTATCCTCTTCAACACTTGTTATCTTTTATCATTTTGATAGTAGCCATTCTAACAGGTATGAAGTGGCATCTCACTGTCATTTTAATTTGCATTTCCCTGATAATTAGGATGACAAACTTTTTTTATGTTAGTCATTTGTATTTTTTTTGAGAAATGTCTATTTAGGACCTTGCCCATTTTTTGACTTGGTTATTTGTTTTCTTGATATTGAGTTGAGTCCCTTATATATTTGGAGATTAGCCTTTCATCAGATGTATGCTCTGCAAATATTTTCTCACAACTTGTAGGTTGTCTCTTCACCATATTGTTTCCTTTGCTGTGCAGAAGCTTTTTAGTTTGATGCAATCCCATATATTTTTGCTTTTGTTGCCTGTGCTTTGGGGGTGATATCCAAGAAATCTTTGACCAAACCAACATTGTGGAACTTTTCCCCTATGTTTTCATCTAGTAGTTTTACAGTTTTATGTTTAAACCTTTAATCCATTTTGAATTGATTTTTGTGTATGGTGTGAGATAAGGATACACACCATACACATTCGTGTTCTTCTGCATGTGGATATCTAGTTTTCTTAACACCATTTATTGAAACAAATGTCTATTCTTCATTACGTTTTCTGGGCACCTTTGTCAAAAATTTATTGGTCATAAATGCATGAGTTTATTTCTGGGCTCCTTATTCTGTTCCCCTGGTCAATGTGTCTGTTTTTGTGCAAGTGTCATATTGTTTTGATTACTATGGTTTTGTGATATGTACTTGTTTTGGGGGGGATCGATTTTTATTTGGGTTTCTCACAGTGGTTAGAGAACAACCACAGCACAGGAAATGCCTCACCAAGATTGCCCAGAAAACTGACCAGCTGCATCTTATTGCTTAAAAATACACATATTCACAATAACTGACAAATGGTGATGTGCCTCACACAGGAATGTGTTCACATTTGCAATGCTGTGTACAGACTTCACTTCGTTCAACATAGATTTTGGTTTAATGGAATTCAAATGCGGATGCTTGTTCACAGCCTTGGATTTGTCTGTTTTTGGAGAGATACAACCTCCATGAGTATATCTGCATGAAAACCACAGACAATGAAGGTATTTCTTCATTGATTTATTTATTCTTTTGACTGTAGTAACAAACCCTGGATGACACCCTTCCTTTTAATTCACCTGGAAACCAGACTCAATCAAATCTCCCTGGTCCCCTCACTATTCCTTCAAATTCCCTATTTCTATCTCTTCCTGAGGAGGGTAACCTCCTGTAGCAGGGGTCAGACTGTGACTTGGGAATCAAGCTTAGGTCTGCAGGTTGCCTGTTCATCTTCTTGTAAAATATTGTAGAACACTGCAGTGAATCCAACAGTTAACACTCAGAGCAGTTCCCTGCTCTAACTCAGGAAAGAGACTTCAGAGGGTCAGGATTCATCCATTTGATCAGTTAACTGAGAAGGATTCATTTTGGTAAAACTTGTTCAGCTTTGAGACACTTCAGTGAGTTGTTTGAGATTTTTTTTTAAATTATATTTTAAGTTCTGGGGTACATATGCAGAACATGCAGGATTGTTACATAGGTATACACGTGCCATGGTGGTTTGCTGCACCCATCAACCCATCATCTACATTAGGTATTTAACCCAATGCTAACCTTCCCCCAGCCCCTACCCCCAGACAGGCCCCGGTGTGTTGTGTTCCCCTCCCTCTGTCCATGTGTTCTCATTGTTCAACTCTCATTTATGAGTGAGAACATCGGGTGTTTGGTTTTCTGTTCTTGGATTAGTTTGCTGAGAATGATGGTTTCCAGCTTAATCCATGTCCCTGAAAAGGATATGAACTCATCCTTCTTTATGGCTGCATAGTATTCCATGGTGTATATATGCCACATTTTCTTTATGCAGTCTATCACTGAATGGGCATTTTGGTTGGTTCCAAGTCTTTGCTATTGTGAACAGTGCCACAATAAACATATGTGTGCATGTGTCTTTATAGTAGAATGATTTATAATCCTTTGGATATATACCCAGTAATGCAATTACTGGGTCAAATCATATTTCTAGTTCTAGAACCTTGAGGAATCACCACACTGTCTTCCACAATGGTTGAACTAATTTACACTCCCACCAACAGTGTAAAAGCATTCTTATTTCTCCACATCCTTTCCAGCATCTGTTGTTTCCTGACTTTTTAATGATCGCCATTCTATCTGGCGTGAGATGGTATCTCATTGTGGTATTGATATGCATTTCTCTGATGACCAGTGATGATGAGCTTTTTTTCATATGTTTGTTGGCTGCATAAATGTCTTCTTTAGAGAAATGTCAGTTCATATCCTTCACCCACTGATGGGTTTGTTTGTTATTTTCTTGTAAATTGTTTAAGTTCTTTGTAGATTCTGGATATTAGCCCTTTGTCAGATGGATAGATTGCAAAAATTTTCACCCATTCTGTAGGTTGCCTGTTCACTCTGATGATAGTTTCTTTTGCTGTGCAGGAGCTCTTTAGTTTAATTAGATCCCATTTGTCAATTTTGGCTTTTGTTGCCATTGCTTTTGGTGTTTTAGTCATGAAGTTTTTGTCCATGCCTATGTACTGAATGGTATTGCCTAGGTTTTCTTCTAGGGTTTTTTATGGTTTTAGATCTTATGTTTAAGTCTTTAATACATCGTGAGTTAATTTTTGTGTAAAGTGTAAGAAAGGGATCCAGTTTCAGTTTTCTGCATATGGCTAGCCGGTTTTCCCAACACCATTTATTAAAAAGGGAATCGTTTCCCCATTGCTTGTTTTTGTCAGGTTTGTCAAAGATCAGATAGTTGTAGATGTGTGGTGTTATTTCTGAGGCCTCTGTTCTGTTCCATTGGTCTACATATCTGTTTTGGTACCAGTACCATGCTGTTTTGGTTACTGAAGACTTGTAGTATAGTTCGAAGTCAGACAGCGTGATGCCTCCAGATTTGTTCTACTTGCTTAGGACTGTCCTAGCTCTGCGGGCTCATTTTTGGTTCCATATGAAATTTAAAGTAGTTTTTTCCAATTCTGTGAACAAAGTCAGTGGTAGCTTGATGGGGACAGCATTGAGTCTATAAAAACTTTGGGCAGTATGTCCATTTTCATGATATTGATTCTTCCTATCCATGAGCATGGAATGTTTTTCCATTTGTTTGTGTCCTCTCTTATTTCCTTGAGCAGTGGTTTGTAGTTCTCCTTGAAGAGGTCCTTCACATCCCTTGTAAGTTGGATTCCTAGGTATTTTATTCTCTTAGTAGCAATTGTGAATGGGAGAGTTCACTCATGATTTGGCTCTCTGTTTGTCTGTTTTTTGCATATAGGAATGCTTGATTTTTGCACATTGATTTTGTATCCTGAGACTTTTCTGAAGTTGCTTATTAGCTTAAGAAGATTTTGGGCTGAGACCATGGGGTTTTCTAAATACACAATCATGTCATCTGCAAACAGAGACAATTTCTTTCTCTTGCCTGATTGCCCTGGCCAGAACTTCCAATACTACGTTGAATAGGAGTGGTGAGATAGGGCATCCTTGTCTTGTGCTGGTTTTCAAAGGGAATGCTTCCAGTTTTTCACCATTCAGTATTGGCTGTGGGTTTTTCATAAATAGGTATTATTATTTTGAGATATGTTCCATCAGTACCTAGTTTATTGAGAGTTTTTAGCATGAAGGGCTGTTGAATTTTTTCGAAGGCCTTTTCTGCATCTATTGAGAGAAGCATGTGGTTTTTGCCATTGGTTCTATTTATATGATGAATTATGTTTATTGATTTGCGTATGTTGAACTAGCCTTGTATCCCAGGGATGAAGCCGACTTGATTGTGGTGGACAAGCTTTTGATGTGCTGCTGGATTTGGTTTGCCAGTATTTTATTGAGGATTCTTGCATCGATGTTCATCAGGGATATTGGCTTGAAATTTTCTTTTTTTTTGTTGTGTCTCTGCCAAATTTTGGTACCAGAATTATTCTGGCCTCATAAAATGAGTTAGGGAGGATTCCCTCTTTTTCTGTTGTTTGGAATAGTTTCAGAAGGAATGGTACCAGCTCCTCTTTGTACCTCTGGTAGAATTCGGCTGTGAATCCATCTGGTCCTGGACTGTTTTTTGGTTGGTAGGCTATTAATTCTGCCACAATTTCAGACCTTGTTATTGGTCTATTCAGGGATTCAACTTCTTCCTGGTTTAGTCTTGGGAGGGTGTATGTGTCCAGGAATTTGTCCATTTCTTCTAGATTTTCTAGTTTGTGTAGAGGTGTTTATAGTATTCTCTGATAGTAGTTTGTATTTCTGTGGGATCAGTGGTGGTATCTCCTTTATCATTTTTTATTGCATCTGTTTGATTCTTCTCTGTTTTCTTCTTTATGAGTCTGGCTAGTGGTCTATCTATTTTATTGATATTTTCAAAAAACCAGCTCCTGGATTCATTGATTTTTTTTGAAGGTTTTTTTGTGTCTCTATCTCCTTCAGTTCTGCTCTGATCTTAGTTATTTATTGTCCTCTGCTAGCTTTTTGTATGCTCCTGCCTCTTGAGTTCTTCTAATTGAGATGTTAGGGTGTCAATTTTAGATCTTTCCTGCTTTCTCTTGTGGGCATTTAGTGCTATAAATTTCCCTCTACACACTGCTATAATTGTGTACCAGAGATTCTGGTATGTTATGTCTTTGTTCTCATTGGTTTCAAATAACTTATTTATTTCTGCCTTAATATCTTTATTTACCCAGTAGTTGTTCAGGAGCAGGTTGTTCAGTTTACATGTAGTTGTGTGGGTTTGAGTCAGTTTCTTAATCCTGAGTTCTAATTTAATTGCACTGCGATCTGAGAGACTGTTATGATTCCCATTTTTTTTTGCATTTGCTGAGGAGTGTTTTACTTCCAAATATGTGGTCAATTTTAGAATAAGTGCAATGTGGTGCTGAGAAGAATGTATATTCTGTTGATTTGGGGTGGAGAGTTCTGTAGCTGTCTATTGGATCCACTTGGTCCAGAGCTGAGTTCAAGTCCTGGATATCCTTGTTAACTTTCTGTTTCGTTGATCTGTCTAGTATTGACAGTGGGATGTTAAAGTCTCCCACTATTATTGTGTGAGGGTCTAAGTCTCTTTTTAAGTCTCTAAGAGCTTACTTTATGCATCTGGGTGCTCCTGTATTGGGTGCATATATATTTAGGATAATTAGCTCTTCTTGTTGCATTGATCCTTTTACCATTATGCAATGCCCTTATTTGTCTCTTTTGATCTTTGTTGGTTTAAAGTCTGTTTTATCAGAGACTAGGATTGCGACCCCTGCTTTTTTTTGCCTTCCATTTGCTTGGTAAGTATTCCTCCATCCCTTTATTTTGAGCCTATTTGTGTCTTTGCACGTGAGATGGGTCTCCTGAATACAGAACACTGATGGGTCTTGACTCTTTAGCCAATTTGCCAGTCTGTGTTTTTTAATTGGAGCATTTAGCCCATTTACATTTAAGGTTGATATTGTTATGTGTGAATTTGATCCTGTCATTACGATGCTAGCTGGTTATTTTGCTGTTAGTTAATGCAGTTTCTTCATAGTGTCAATGGTCTTTACAATTTGGTATGTTTTTGCAGTGGCTGATACCAGTTGTTCCTTTCCATGTTTAGTGCTTCCTTCAGGAGCTCCTTTAAGGCAGGCCTGGTGGTGACAAAATCTCTCAGCATTTGCTTGTCTGTAAAGATTTTATTTCTCCTTCACTTATGAAGCTTAGTTTGGCTGGATATGAAATCCTGGGTGGAAAATTCTTTTCTTTAAGAATGTTGAATATTGGCCCCCATTCTCTTCTGGCTTGTAGAATTTCTGCTGATAGATCTGCTGTTAGTCTGATGGGCTTCCCTTTGTGGGTAACCTGACCTTTCTCTCTGGCTGCCCTTAACATTTTTTCCTTCATTTCAACCTTGCTCAATCTGATGACTATGTGTCTTGGGGTTGCTTTTCTTGAGGAGTGTCTTTGTGATGTTCTCCGTATTTCTGAATTTGAATATTGGCCTGCCTTGCTAGGTTAGGGAAGTTCTCCTGGATAATATCCTGAAGAGTGTTTTCTAACTTGGTTCCATTCTCCCCATCACTTTCAGGTACAGCAATCAAACGTAGATTTGGTCGTTTCACATAGTCCCATATTTCTTGGAGGCTTTGTTCATTTCTTTTCATTCTTTTTTCTCTAATCTTGTCTTCTTGATTTATTTCATTAAGTTGATATTCAGTCTCTGATATCTTTCTTCCGCTTGATCGAATCAGTGCTTGATCCTTGTGCATGCTGCATGAAGTTCTCATGGCATGTTTTTCAGCTCCATCAGGTCATTTATGTTCTTCTCTAAACTGGTTATTCTAGTTAGCAATTGGTCTAGCCTTTTTTCCAGGTCCTTAGCTTCCTTACATTGGGTTAGGACATGCTCCTTTAGCTTGGAGGAGTTTGTTATTACCTACCTTCTGAAACCTACTTCTCTCAATTCATCAAACTCATTCTCCGTCCAGTTTTCTTTTGTTCCCTTGCTGGTGAGGAGTTGTGATCCTTTGGAGGAGAAGAGGCGTTCTGGTTTTTGGAATTTTCAGCCTTTTTGCTCTGGTTTCTCTCCATCTTCATGGATTTATCTACCTGTGGTTTCTGATGTTGGTAACCTTCTGATGAGGTCACTGAGTGGCTGTCCTTTTTGTTGATGTTGATGCTATTCCTTTTTGTTTGTTAGTTTTCCTTCTAACAGTCAGGCCCCTCTGCTGCAGGTCTGTTGGTGTTTGCCCTAGGTCTACTCTAGACCCTGTTTGCCTGGGCATCACCAGCGGAGGCTGGAGAACAGCAAAGATTGCTGCCTGTTTCTTCCTCTGGAAGTTTTGTCCAAGAGGGGCACCCACCAGATGCCAGCCAGAGCTCTCCTGTATGAGGTGCCTGTTGGCACCTACTGGGAGGTGTCTCCCAGTCAGGATACACGGGGGTTAGGGACCCACTTGAGGAGGCAGTCTGACCCTTATCAGAGCTCGAATACTGTGCTGGGAGATCTGCTGCTCTCTTCAGAGCCATCAGGCTTTTCAAAGATGCTTTAAGTCTGCTGAAGCTGTGCCCACAGGCGCCCTTTCCCCTAGGTGCTCTGTTCCAGGGAGATGGGGGTTTTATCTATAGGTCTCTGACTGGGGCTGCTGCCCTTTTTTCAGAGATGCCTTGCCCAGAGAGGAGAAATCTAGAGAGGCAGTCTGGCTGCTGTGGCCTTGCTGAGTTGTGGTGGGCTCCACCCAGTTCAAACTTTCTGGTGGCTTTGTTTACACTGTGGGGGTAAAACTGCCTACTCAAGCCTTGGCAATGTGGAAGCCCCTCCCGCCACCAAGCTCGAGTGTCCTAGGTCAACCTCAGACTGCTGTGCAAGAATTTCAAGCCAGTGGATCTTAGCTTGCTGGGCTCTGTATGGGTGGGACCCGCCGAGCCAGACCACTTGGCTCCCTGGCTTCAGCCCCCTTTCCAGGAGAGAGAATGGTTCTGTCTTGTTGGCATTCCAGTTGCCATTGTGGCATGAAAAAAAAAAAAAAACTCCTGCAGCTAGCTCGGTGTCTGCCCAAACAGCTGCCTAGTTTTGTGCTTGAAACCTAGGGCCTTGGTGGCAGAGGCACTGGAGGGAATCTCCTGGTCTGTGGATTGTGAAGACCGTGAGAAAAGCATAGTTTCTGGGTGGAGTGCACCGTTCCTCATGGTACAGTCCCTCGGGGCTTCCCTTGGCTAGGGGAGGGAATTCCCCCAACCCCTTGCACTTCCCGGGTGAGGCGACACCCCATTCTGCTTTGGCTCACCCTCCGTGCGCTGCACCCACTGTCCAACCAGTCCCAGTGAGATGAACCAGGTACCTCAGTTGGAAATGCAGAAATCACCTGCATTCTGCATTGATCTCACTGGGAGCTGCAGACTGGAGCTGTTCCTATTTGGCCATGTTGCCAGCAAATTCTGAGATTTTTTTTAAAAGTGCAAAGAAAGACATCTGAGGGGTGCTGACATATTCGGGTCACCTCAAGCCACATGCCAGCTTGCTTGCCCCTGTTGGATTCAGCAGAGGGAGATAGGCCTTGCCATACCTGTGGTGTCTGCCAAAGCTTCCTCCTGGCAATTCTTGGGAGTGCTGATACCTGGGCCACAGTTAGTCCAAGTTTATCACTGAAGATCCTATCAAAGTTTTGTCTGAAATTCCACTTTTGCCTTTTGTCCTAAGTGGTTGTGGACATCTCCAGGGGCTGATACCAAGGACTAGGAACAGCTGAGGGAGGCAGAAAGGTTCAGAGTACATCTCTATTTACAGGGAACAGAACACCGGCCTCCGAGAGTCCATGGAGCAATGGGAAAATTGCAGTGATTACTCATCACTGTGAAACTTCTACTTTGAATACAGTATCTTCTGGCAAGCATAGGGGACTGCAGTCGACAATGCTGCTGAATATACCTGAGTACATAGTAAGACATTTGTTTGGTAAACAGTCAATGCATACAATAAATTACCTTGAGAGGGCCATCTGTGCTCCAGATGTGAGAGTTCATGTGAATAGAATGGCCGCAATTCAAAGAATCTTCACAGGAAAACAGGGCTCAGAGCTCATCCACAATGGACAGACAGGGAGGGAAACAGGTGGAGGTTAGTTCACCACTTCCTCATAAGAAGGTAATAAATAGTTTGGTGAAATAAAATGGTAGCACTGAGTAATTGCGGGCTTCTGGATAGGCAGGCAGGTTGATTTCATGTTGCTACTGCTGGACTTGAGGGCTGGCTTGGCTGTGGTGGCAGACACAGCAGCAGCTCAGGATGATGGTGATGGTCCACGCGAGCCAGAACCACCAATGTTCATAGTAGTAGTTACAACACTGAGACTGCCCATAGCAGTGTCCTGTTGTGTCACAGATGTAGCTTTGATTGTTGGTACACACACAGGCTTCCTTATCCTGTGGGGGTTCAGCCCTGGCTGACACAGGGCTGGGCAGTGCCTAGAGGTGCAAGAGCTCCATGCCACCCAGGAGTCTTCCCTCCTTACTCCTCCTGCTCCTCCGACCCAGCGCGGGCACCTCCCTCCACCCTTGCTGCACTTCTCCTCTACCCTCTTCTTCCTTCTTTTGTTCTTTTCCTGTAATACGTTTTGAAGTCAGATTGTGAGGCCTTCAGCTTTGTTCTTATTGCTCAAGAGTGCTTTAGTTATTCAGGGTCCTTTGTGGTTCCATATAAATTTTCAAATTGTTTTTTCTATTTCTGTGAAGAATGACATTGAAATTTTGATAAATGTTGCATTAAACCTATAAATCGCTTTGGGCAGTAAGGACATTTTAAGAATATTAATTCTTCCTACCCATGAACATAAAATATCTTTCCATGTATTTGTGTCATCTACAATTTTTCATCAATGTTTTATAGTGTTCAGAATACAGATCTTTCACCTCCTTGGTTAAATGTACTCCTAAGTACAATCCTAAATGTGCTCCTAAACAAAAAAAATACAGTTTTTTTGATGCTACTGTGAATGAGATTGATTTCTTTATTTTTGTCATATAGTTTGTTGTGAGTGTAAAGAAACTACTGAGTTTTGTATATTGATTTTGAATTCTGCAATTTTATTGAATTCATTTATCATTTCTAATAGCTTTTTGGTGGAGTTTTTAGGGTTTCCTATATATAATATGTCATCAAACAGAGACAATTTTACTTCTTCCTTTTCAATTTGAATATCTTTTATTTCTTTATTTGGCTTAATTGCTCTGGCTAGGACTTCCAGAAATAAGTTGAATAGAAGTAGTGAGAATAAATATCCTTGTCTTGTTCTTGATCTTAGCAGAAAAGATTTCACTTTTTCATTGTTGGGTATGATGTGAGCTGTGAGCTTGTTATATATGTCCTGTTTTGTGTTAAGGTACATGCCTTCTACGCCCAATTTGTTGAGAGGTTTTGTCATGAGAGGATTTTGAATTTAGTCAAATGCTTTTTCTGCATATATAGAGATAGCTATTTTTTTATCCTTCATTCTGTTAATGTGGTTTATCACATTTGATTTGTGTTTGCTGAAACATCTGGAGGATAAATCCACTTTATCATGGTAAATGTTCTCCTAATATGTTGTTAAATTCTGTTTGCTAGTACTTATTTTGAGGACTTTTGTATCTATGTTCATCAGGGATATTGGTTGGCCCATACTTTTCTTATAGTGTCCTTGTTTGCCTTTTTATTTTTATTTTTATTTATTTATTTTTTAAATTATACTTTAAGTTTTAGGGTACATGTGCACAACGTGCAGGTTAGTTACATATGTATACATGTGCCATGCTGGTGTGCTACACCCATTAACTCATCATTTAACATTAGGTGTATCTCCTAATGCTATCCCTCCCCCCTCCCCCCACCCCACAACAGGCCCCAGTGCTAATATCCGGAATCTACAATGAACCCAAACAAATTTACAAGAAAAAAACAAACAACCCCATCAAAAAGTGGGCAAAGGATATGAACAGACACTTCTCAAAAGAAGACATCTATGCAGCCAAAAAACACATGAAAAAATGCTCATCATCACTGGCCATCAGAGAAGTGCAAATCAAAACCACAATGAGATACCATCTCACACCAGTTAGAATGGCCATCATTAAAAAGTCAGGAAACAACAGGTGCTGGAGAGGATGTGGAGAAATAGGAACATTTTTACACTGTTGGTGGGACTGTAAACTAGTTCAACCATTGTGGAAGTCAGTGTGGCGATTTCTTAGGGATCTAGAACTAGAAATACCATTTGACCCAGCCATCCCATTACTGGGTATATACCCAAAGGATTATAAATCATGCTGCTATAAAGACACATGCACACGTATGTTTATTGCAGCACTATTCACAATAGCAAAGACTTGGAACCAATCCAAATGTCCAACAATGATAGACTGGATTAAGAAAATGTGGCACATATACACCATGGAATACTATGCAGCCATAAAAAATGATGAGTTCATGTCCTTTGTAGGGACATGGATGAAGCTGGAAACCATCATTCTCAGCAAACTATCACAAGGACAAAAAACCAAACAGTGCATGTTCTCACTCATAGGTGGGAATTGGACAATGAGAACACATGGACACAGGAAGGGGAACATCACTTTAAGAAAAAAACAATAATGCTGATCTTTTAAAATGAGTTTGGAAATACTCTTTCTCCTTCAAGTTTTTGGAAGAATTTCAGAAGGATTGTATTATTATTTTTTAAAATGTTAGAATTCAGCAATGAAGTTTTCTGGTCCTGGGATGTTCTTTGATGGGAGATGTTTTATTATTGATATACTCTCCATACTCAGTATTGTTCTGTTCAGATTTTATCTTTCTTCTTGACTTTCTCTAGGTAAGTTGCATTTTTCTAGAAATTTATCTGCTTTTTCTAGGTTATCCAATTTGTTGGCTTGTAATTGTTTATAGTGGCCTCTTATGATCCTCTATATTTCTGTGGTATTAGTTGCAATATTTCCTCTTTCATTTCTGATTTTATTGCTTTGAGTATTCTCTCGTTTTTCTAGTCTAGCTAATGGTTTGTCAGTTTTGTTTATCTTTTCAAAGAACAAATTCTTAGTTTCATTGATCTGTTCTATTTTCTTTCACAGTCTTTTTGTATTTGAAGGACTTGTATTTGTTAACTGGCTCAAGCCTGGAAATTTGTTGAGGTGCTATGAGTCTCTATTGCTCTCATTTCTCTTCACTAGACATAGAAATTTTCTGATTACACGAATCAAATAAGACTAATAAGCTTCCCAGGGATGAATCCCACTTAAGCATGGTGAATTTTTTTGCTGTGTTTTCTTAAAAATAATATTTGCTAATATTTGGCTGAGGGTTTTTCCATCTAAGTTCATCAGGAGTATTGGTCTGCAATTTATTTTTATTATAGTGTCCTTCTCTGGTTTTGGTATCAGGGTAATGCTGGTTTTGAAAAATGAATTTGGAAGTATTCCTCTTCTTCATGTTTCTGGAAGCGTTTGAGAAGGATTGGTGTTAGTTATCTAAGTGTTTGTTAGAATCCAGCCACTGAGCCATTCAATCCTGGGTCTTTCTTTTATGAGAGACCTTTCATTGGTGATTTAATTTCCTTATTCACGATTTGTTCTAAATTTTGAATTCTTCATGATTCAGTTTTGGTACGAGTTTATCAATTTCTTCTAGGTTATCTAATTTGCTGGTGAATAATTAATTATAGTAGTATGTTATGATTTTTTAACTTCTGTGGTATCAGTTTTAATGTCTCTTCTTTCATTTCTGAGTTTGTTTTCTTTTTTCTTAGTCTATGTAAGAATTTGTTAATTTTGTTTATCTTTTCAAAAAACAATTCTTATTTTTATTGAAATTTTCAGTTTCTATTATATTATTTCTGCTCTGATCTTTGTTATTTGTTTCCTTCTGCTATCTTTGGGCTTGTATTGTTCTCTAATTTTCTCGCTCCTTTAGGCATAATATTAGGTTGCTTATTTGAGATCTTTTTTTCTTTTTTGATGTAGGCATTTATTGCTATAAGTGTCCCTCTTATAACTGCTTTTGTTGCATCCCATATGTTTTAGTATGTTATGTTTCCATTTTCATGCTACCTGATTTTAGAATATATTTCAAAGCATGGTGTACAGTGCTTTTAAAAAGAGGCTATATATAGGTATATATAAAAACAATACACACATTGTATATAAACTATGGCATGCTTGTAAAGAAAAGAGAACATAAAGTGTCTGAGGAAATAATTAGAAGAACAAGAGGATGCAAAGGGGTCTGTCAAAGATTCAGTGAAATGAGGGTTTTTGGATATTCACAGCTAATAGATTAATGCATTAGGAATGAGCAAAAAAATTGATGGTAGTCAAACAGAGGGAGGGAGGTAGATTTTGAATGATTCAAAGCAGGAGTGTTTTGAAGATAAACAGAATAACTAAAAAGAAAGACTCAGATGAAAAGCCTAGATTTAAAGCATTTGAATCAAGAGGTGGTAATCTAGGAATTAGGTTGATTTCTTTTTTTTTTAATTTGTGTAGCTTTTTATTTTATTTTTTATTATACTTTAAGTTTTAGGGTACATGTGCACAAAGTGCAGGTTTGTTACATATGTATACATGTGCCATGTTGGTGTGCTGCACCCAGAAGACTGGTTAATTTCAATAACCTAAAAATCCACAAGGTGGGAGCGTTTCACTGAAGACAGTTGTTAGAGAAACGTTAGAACCAACTTCCTTTTTTTCTCTGTCCCTTCTTCTCTGCTTTCTTCTTTTCTCCTCCTCCTCCTCCTCCCTTTACTCTCCTTCTTCTCTCTCTGTTTTTCTAATCATGAAAACAAACGAAAAAAACTATGAGCAAGAGCACAGAAAAAAGACTAGCGAAGACTGCAGTTATTGAAAGTATCAGATACAGAAAATAAAATAACTATATTTAGTATGTTTAAAGTAAAACAAAAAATTAAAAATATCATAATGGAACAGGAAACTCTAGAGAATGGCCAAGAAGATTAAAAGAAAACAAATAGAATGTCCATAGAGAATAACATAATTGAAATTTAAACCCAAATGAATGGTTTTAACAGAATATTAGTATGTTAGAAGCAGTTGAAGAGTGAACTAGTAAACTGTAATATAGGTCAGAAGGGGCTATCCAAAATGAACACAGGAATAAGGAAATGGAAAATAAGAAACATGTAGTTAGGAGACATGGAAGACAGAGGGGGAAATGCTAAAAAGTTTTAAAGAGTGTTTCAGAAGGAGAGAAAGGAGATCATGAATCAGTGTATATATTTTTTAAATTTTATTTTATGTTCTGGGATACACGTGCAGAAAGTATAGGTTGATACATAGGTAAATGTGTGCCATGGTGGTTTGCTGCACCCATCAACCCATCACCTAGGTATGAGGCCCTGCATGCATTAGCTATTTGTCCTGATGGTCTCCTACCCCCTGTCCCCCTGAGAGGCCCTGGTGTGTGTTGTTCCCCTCCATGTACCCACGTGTTTGTCCTGATGGTCTCCTACCCCCTGTCCCCCTGAGAGGCCCGGGTGTGTGTTGTTCCCCTCCATGTACCCACGTGTTTGTCCTGATGGTCTCCTACCCCCTGTCCCCCTGAGAGGCCCTGGTGTGTGTTGTTCCCCTCCATGTATCCACGTGTTTGTCCTGATGGTCTCCTACCCCCCGTCCCCCTGAGAGGCCCTGGTGTGTGTTGTTCCCCTCCATGTACCCACGTGTTTGTCCTGATGCTCTCCTACCCCCTGTCCCCCTGAGAGGCCCTGGTGTGTGTTGTTCCCCTCCATGTACCCACGTGTTTGTCCTGATGCTCTCCTACCCCCTGTCCCCCTGAGAGGCCCTGGTGTGTGTTGTTCCCCTCCATGTATCCACATGTTTGTCCTGATGGTCTCCTACCCCCTGTCCCGCTGAGAGGCCCTGGTGTGTGTTGTTCCCCTCCATGTACCCACGTGTTTGTCCTGATGGTCTCCTACCCCCTGTCCCCCTGAGAGGTCCTGGTGTGTGTTGTTCCCCTCCATGTATCCACGTGTTTGTCCTGATGGTCTCCTACCCCCTGTCCCCCTGAGAGGCCCTGGTGTGTGTTGTTCCCCTCCATGTATCCACGTGTTTGTCCTGATGGTCTCCTACCCCCTGTCCCCCTGAGAGGCCCTGGTGTGTGTTGTTCCCCTCCATGTATCCATGTGTTTGTCCTGATGGTCTCCTACCCCCTGTCCCCCTGAGAGGCCCTGGTGTGTGTTGTTCCCCTCCATGTATCCATGTGTTTGTCCTGATGGTCTCCTACCCCCTGTCCCCCTGAGAGGCCCTGGTGTGTGTTGTTCCCCTCCATGTATCCACGTGTTTGTCCTGATGGTCTCCTACCCCCCGTCCCCCTGAGAGGCCCTGGTGTGTGTTGTTCCCCTCCATGTATCCACGTGTTTGTCCTGATGGTCTCCTACCCCCTGTCCCCCTGAGAGGCCCTGGTGTGTGTTGTTCCCCTCCATGTATCCACGTGTTTGTCTTGATGGTCTCCTACCCCCTGTCCCGCTGAGAGGCCCTGGTGTGTGTTGTTCCCCTCCATGTATCCACGTGTTTGTCCTGATGGTCTCCTACCCCCTGTCCCCCTGAGAGGCCCTGGTGTGTGTTGTTCCCCTCCATGTATCCACGTGTTTGTCTTGATGGTCTCCTACCCCCTGTCCCCCTGAGAGGCCCTGGTGTGTGTTGTTCCCCTCCATGTACGCACGTGTTTGTCCTGATGGTCTCCTACCCCCTGTCCCCCTGAGAGGCCCTGGTGTGTGTTGTTCCCCTCCATGTATCCACGTGTCTGTCCTGATGGTCTCCTACCCCCTGTCCCCCTGAGAGGCCCTGGTGTGTGTTGTTCCCCTCCATGTACCCACGTGTTTGTCCTGATGGTCTCCTACCCCCTGTCCCCCTGAGAGGCCCTGGTGTGTGTTGTTCCCCTCCATGTATCCACGTGTCTGTCCTGATGGTCTCCTACCCCCCGTCCCCCTGAGAGGCCCTGGTGTGTGTTGTTCCCCTCCATGTATCCACGTGTTTGTCTTGATGGTCTCCTACCCCCTGTCCCCCTGAGAGGCCCTGGTGTGTGTTGTTCCCCTCCATGTACCCACGTGTTTGTCCTGATGGTCTCCTACCCCCCGTCCCCCTGAGAGGCCCTGGTGTGTGTTGTTCCCCTCCATGTATCCACGTGTTTGTCTTGATGGTCTCCTACCCCCTGTCCCGCTGAGAGGCCCTGGTGTGTGTTGTTCCCCTCCATGTACCCACGTGTTTGTCCTGATGGTCTCCTACCCCCTGTCCCGCTGAGAGGTCCTGGTGTGTGTTGTTCCCCTCCATGTATCCATGTGTTTGTCCTGATGGTCTCCTACCCCCTGTCCCCCTGAGAGGTCCTGGTGTGTGTTGTTCCCCTCCATGTACCCACGTGTTTGTCCTGATGGTCTCCTACCCCCTGTCCCCCTGAGAGGCCCTGGTGTGTGTTGTTCCCCTCCATGTACCCACGTGTTTGTCCTGATGGTCTCCTACCCCCTGTCCCCCTGAGAGGCCCTGGTGTGTGTTGTTCCCCTCCATGTACCCACGTGTTTGTCTTGATGGTCTCCTACCCCCTGTCCCCCTGAGAGGCCCTGGTGTGTGTTGTTCCCCTCCATGTATCCACGTGTTTGTCTTGATGGTCTCCTACCCCTGTCCCGCTGAGAGGCCCTGGTATGTGTTGTTCCCCTCCATGTATCCATGTGTTTGCTCTCATTGTTCAACTCCCTCTTACGACTGAGAACATGTGGTGTTTGGTTTTCTGTTCCTGTGTTAGTTTGCTGAGGGTGATGGCTTCCAGCTTCATCCATGTCCCTGCAAAGAACATGATCTCATTTATTTTAACGGCTGCATAGTATTCCATGGTGAATATATATCACATTTTCTTTATCCAATATATCATTGATGGGCATTTGGGTTGATTCCATGTATTTTCTATCGTAAATAGTGCTGCAATAATCATATGTGTGCATGTATATGTATGTGTGTGTGTATATATATGTAGTTATAATATGTATATATATGTGTATATATATGTGTGTATATATATACACATATATATACATTTACATATATAATATCTGTATATATGTATATATATGTGTATATATATGTATGTATATGTATATATATATATTTTTTTGAGATGGAGTTTTGCTCTTGTTGCCCAGGCTGGAGTGCAATGGTATGATCTTGGCTCACTTTGACCTCTGCCTCCTGGGTTCCAGCGATTCTCCTGCCTCAGCCTCCAAAGTAGCTGGTATTACAGGTGTGCACCACTATACCTGGCTAATTTTTTTATTTTTAGTAGAGATGGAGTTTCCCCATGTTGGCTAGGCTGGTCTCAAACTCCTGTCCTCAGGTGATCCACCCGCCTTGGCCTCCCAAAGTGCTGGGATTACAGGTGTGAGCCACTGCACCCAGCCCTGTGCATGTATCTTTATAATAGAATGATTTATATTCCTTTGGGCATATATCCAGTAAAGGGATTGCTGGGGCAAATGGCATTTCTGGTTCTAGATCTTTGAGGAATTTTCACACTGCCTTCCACAGTGAATGAACTAATTTACATTCCCACAAACAGTGTAAAAACATTCCTATTTCTCCACAGCCTTACCAGCAACTGTTGTTTCTGGAGTTTTTGATAATCACCATTAAGACTGGTTTGAGATAGTATCTCATTGTGGTTTTGAGTTGCATTTCTCTAATGATCAGTGATTTGAGCTTTTTTTCATATGTTTGTTGGCCACATCCATGTCTTCTTTTGAGAATTGTCTGTTCATGTCCTTTGGCCAATTTTTGATGTTTTTTTTTTTTCTTGTAAATTTAAGTTCTCCATAGGAGCAGGTGCTCTAATTGCTTGGAGGTCTGCCTATGTGTGGAGATGAGAGGGCCTCACTGCACTATAATCTCAGCACAGGAAGGTTGGGGAAGCTCAGGCTGCTGATCCAGTCAAGTGGGTACTCCACATACCTGGAAATCTGCCTGGCCATAGACTGGAGAGGGCCCCACTGCACCACAACCTATGTTTATAAACGGTGGGGTAGCTCAGGATGCTGGTCCAGGTAGACAGGTGCTCCAATGCCTGAATTTCTGCCTGGGGGTGAAGCAGAGAAAGCCCTGCTGTATCACATTCTCAGGGGAACAGGCTGGGGCACCCAGCAATGACACCTGCAGACTGGTTGTAGGTCTCCAAGCTGGCCCTGGCTGCAAGTTTCATCACCTGGGAGAAATTACAGCTGTAGCAGCTTTTCTGTTGCCCCGAGGCTGCGATGGGGGAAAGCACAATTCCAGCACATACTGCTGAGGTGTTTTCCACAATATGGCTGTGAAGGTCCCTACCAAGCCCCAAAGCAGTTGTTCCAATCTTTGGCCTGAGACTAAAATGCCTGTGCAGGCATTCTGCTGGGTCACAAAAAGAAAAAAAAAAGCTGACTTTGCATGCATCCAGATTGAAAATGGCATCTTGCTCTTACTTCCTGGTCTGGGAAAATGTCTGCAGCTGTTCCCAGTGTCTTTGCTTCACAGCATCTCCAAGCCTCTCCCCATGTTGACTCCAGGCCTTGGGAGAAACAAAATGCAACAACTTGGCTGGGGTTGCTCAGATTCACAGTGAAAATGTCAGTTACAGAGGGAGGCTCTCTGCCTCTCTCACATACTAGGACTTCGCTCACTTTTATAAGCTGGTTGCTGTCATGTTGACTGTTTGCTCACATTCTCCTTCTTGGGATCTATGATGTCCTTCATGATTCTGGTGGATTCCCATTTTCCTTCTTGACTTAGAGCTCACAGAGTTGACCTTTGTGCACTCTCTTGCTATTTCTAAGTGGCCGAGGCATACTAAAAGCCTCTAATTTATCATCTTTGGAAAAAAACAAAACAGGGAAGTTTGCTTTTGCAAATTGTTGTTTGTGGGGGTCTGTCCTGCAGACCCCAGCTGCACGAGGGATGAATAATGTACTCAGACACCAATTATTCAGTGAAAGAGCCGCTAGGGGGCTGGGCCGTGCACAGAAAGAGTTCTGGCAGCCACGAGCCCTGACTAGCTAGCCCTGCCAGCATTTATTGAAAAAACATTAAATGACAGGGGCTTTTAGTCAACACAAATAGAGGGTAATTAACCTGGTCACCCTCCCCCGAGAGAGAGCCATCCTGCCTGTGAATGATCAAAGGTTGGCTTCAGGACCACATGAGTAAACAAGTTATTTAGATAAACTCCCTTACATTCCTTTGCACCTACTTTAAGCTATTTACTCAAGGAAGGATTAGGCCGCCTTCATTCAGATCTATTACTGAAGCTATACAACACCCCCAGCCTTCCATGAAGGTTTGTGTCGATTTCTTATAACTATCTTTAAAATTTTTCCCACCAGCCTGACTGAACTCCCACAGTTGTTGCTACTTTTTGAAATTGAAATACTTCTAGGAAGACTGATTAAGAACAATATAGAGAAAAGACATATTTTTCAAACTCCTGATGAAGAAGAAACATCCGTATTAATATATAGCTAATAAAAAGATAAGAGATGTTGTGGAAAACTTCATACAAGGGTGCCCACTCTCAGAACTTCTATTCAACATAGTACTGGATGTCCTAGCCAGAGCAATTAGGCAAAAGAAAGAAATAAAAGGCATGAAAATTGGAAAGGAAGAAGTTAAATTGTTTCTGTTTGCAGTTGACATGATCTTATATATAGAAAACACCAATAACTCTGCCAAAAAATTTAGAATTCATAAATGAATTTAGTAAAGTTGCAGGATACAATGTGAACATACAAAATTCAGTAGCATTTCTACACATCAACAACAAACTATACAAAAAAAGAAATCAAGAAAACAATCCTATTTATAATAGCAACAAAAAATACTTAGATGTAAATTTAAACAAAGAGGTGAATGATCTTTACACTGAAAACTACAAAACATTGATGAAAACAATTGAAGAAGCCACAAATAAATGGAAAGATATATCATGTTCATGGATTGGAAAAAGTAATATGTTTGAAATGTCCATACTATCCAAAGTGATGTACATATTGAATGCAATCTCTATCAAAATTCCTATGACATTTTCCCACAGAAATAGAAAAACAACTCTCAAATCTGTATGGAATCACAAAAAACTCTGAAAAGCCAAAATAATCTTGATCGAAAAAAGCAAGGCAGGAGATATCACATTACCTGACTTCAAATTATACTACATAGCTATAGCAATCGAAACACCATGGTACTGGCATAAACGCAGACACATAGACCAATTACACAGAATAAAGAGCCCATAAATAAATCTACATATTATAGTCAATTGACTTTCAACAAAGGTGCCAGGAACACACATGGGGAAAGAACAGTCTCTTCAAAAAATGGTGTTGAGAAAACTGAATGTCCACAAGATTGATCTTAGGCCCTTATTTCATACCATATAAAAATATAAATTCAAAATAAGTTAGACTTAAATGTAAGACCTAGCACTATAGAACTCCTGGAAGAAAACAGGGGAATAACTCCAAGACATTGGTCTGGGCAATAATATTTTATGATATGACTCTAAAGCACAGGCAAGAAAAGCAACAAAACACAAATGGAATAGCATCAACCTAAAAAGCTTCTGCACAGCAAAAGAAAGTCAACAGAGTGAAGTGATAACCTACAAAATGGGAGAAATTATCTGCAAACTATACATTTGATAAGAGGCTAATGTCCAAAATATCTTAGGAACTCAAACAACACAATAATAAGAAAACAAGGAACCCTAATGAAAAATTGACAAAGGATCTAAATAGACATTTCTCAAAAGAAGACATACAAATGGCCAACAGATATATAAAAATGCTAATTATCACTGATCATCAGAGAAATGCATATTAAAACTACAATAAAATGCCATTTCACATCCGTTAGAATGGCTGTTACAGAAAAGGCAGAAGATACCAAGTGTTGGAGAGGATGTGGAGAAAAGGAAAACCTTGTAATTGTTGAGAATGTAAACTATTTCAGCCATTGTAAAAGACAGTATAAATGATTCTGTAAAAATAGAATTACCATATGATTCAGTAATGCTATTTCTGGGCATATATTAAAAAGATATCAAATCAGTGTGTCAGTGAGTTATCTGTACTCCCATATTTATTGTAGCATTATTCACAACAGCCAAGATGTGGAATTAACTTAAGTATCCATCGACACATGAGTGGATGAAGAAAATGTGGTACACATACACAATAGAATAGTATACAACCTTAAAAAATAAAAAAAGTATCATTTGTGACAACATGAATGAACCGGGAGGACATTATACTGAGTAAAATAATCCAGGCACAGAAAGCCAGATACTGCATAATCTCACTTGTATGTGGAGGTCTAAGAAGGCTGAACACATAGAAGTACAGAGTAGAATGATGGTTACCAGGAGGATTGGGTAGATGTTGGTCAAAGGGTACAAAATTGCATTGTACAGGAGGAATGAATTCAACAGATCTATTGTGCAATATGGTGACTATAGTGGATAACAATGTATTGTTTTTAAATTTAATTTTTGTGGGTACATAGCAGGTGTATACATTTATGGGGTACATGAAATATTTTGGTACAGGCATGCAATGTACAATAAGTACATAATGGAAAATTGGATATTCATCCCCTCAAGCATTTATTATTTGTGTTATAAACAATCCAATTATACTCTTTCAGTTATTTTTAAATGTATAATTGAATTTTAGACTGCAATCCCCCTGTTGTGCTATCAAATACTAGGTCTTATTAAATCTTTCTTTTTTTGTACCCATTAACCATCCCCCACCTCTCCCAACCCCCACTACCCTTCACAGCCTCTGGTATACTTCCTTCTACTCTCTATCTCCATGAGTTCAGTTGTTTGCTTTTTGGATTCCACATATAAGTGATAACACATAGTATTTGTCTTTTTGTGCCTGGCTTATTTCACTTAACATAATGACCTCCAGTTTCATCTATGTTGTTGCAAATGACAGGGTCTCATTCCTTTTTATGGCTGAATAATACTTCATTGTATATAAGTACCACATTTTCTTTATTCATTCATCTGTTGATGGACACTTAGGTTGACTCCATAACTTCGCTATTGTAAATAGTGCTGCAACAAATACGGGAGTGCAGATATCTCTTCGATATACTGATTTCTTTTTTGGGGGGTATATATGCAGCAGTGGGATTGCTGGACCACATGGTAGCTCTATTTTTACTTTTTTGAGGAGCCTTCAAACTGTTCTCCATAGGGGATGTACTTGTATTCTTCAAAATTGCTAAGAGTAGATTTTTAAGTGTTCTCATAAAAAAAGATAAGCATGTAAGGTAATGCATATGTTAGCTTAACATGGCTATTTTACAATGAATATATATTTCAAAACATATAATTTTATTTATCTGATAAAATAAATATAAAATATGAAACTTTATATTAATAAATTTGACAATCATAAGGAATGGTCAAGTTCCTATGAAAAATACCTACTTTTATGAAATGATCAGAAAAAAACTAGAAAAACTGAGTAGTTTTTTTTTCATTGTAGAAATTTTATTTAGAAAATTTTTTTTTCCTGTAGAAAGAACTCCAGGGCTAGGTGGATGCAATATTTAATAAAGAAATATTACCAAATATTTAATAAAGAAATAATGCCAATGTTACATGAATATTTTTAGAGAATTGGGAAGACATAACACTTTCCAACTTGTTTTATATGGTGGTACCTCCATGATAGTAAAACCATACAAGGATATTAAAAGAAATGAAATTACAGACTAATATACTACATAATAATTCTAAACAAAAATGTTTGCAAATATAATCCAACAATATACTCCAAAGAAAAATACATCATGACTAAGTGCAGTAATTTCAAGAATGTATGGTTTAAAATTAGAAAACCAAACAATGAAATTAACCACATTAACTGAATAAAAGAAAAAAATATGGTTATTTCAATAGCTGTGGGAAAAGCACTTGTTCACATTTGAAACTATTTGTAATAATAACAAACTAGGAATAGAAGAGAACTGATGTAAATATCTTAATATATACACAAAAACTACTCTCAACATTATAAATAATCATGACATATTAAACAGTTTCATTCTAACATGAGGAACAAGGTACACATGTCCAGCTCAACACTTTATTCATCATTAAAATAATACTGTGCAGTAAAATTAACAAGGAAAATTTTAAAAAGAACACAAAAGAAAACTACAAATCCTTATCCCTGATCAACACAGATGTAAAAATACTCAACAAAATTCTAGCAAACTGAAGCTAACAACACATCAAAAAGATAATTCATCATGATCAAGTGGGCTTTATTCCAGGGGTGCTTGAATGGTTCAAAATAGACAAATCAATAAACATGATTCACCACATAAATGGAACTGAGAACAAAAACCCTATGATCATCTCATTAGATGCAGAATAAGCATTTGATAAAATCCAACATCTGTTTATGATAAAAACCCTCAACAATATAGGTATAGATGGAGTATACCTCAAAAAATGAGTCATCTATGACAAAGCCACAGCCAACATCATCCTGGATGGGCAAAAGTTAGAAGTGTTGCTTCTAGAAACTGGAAAAAAGCAAGGATGTTCACCTTCATCATTCCTATTCAATACAGTACTGGAAGTGCTAGCCAGAACTATCAGAAAGGAGAAAGAAATAAAAGGTATACAAATTAGAAAAGAAGTCAAATGATCTCTGCTCACTGATGACATGACTGTAGGCCTAGAAAACCCTAAAGTCTTCAGAAGACTCCTAGACTTGATACACGACTTCAGTAAAGTCTTGGGATAAACAAGCCACAAAAATCAGTTGTATTTCTATACACCAAATACATTCAAGCTGTTTGAATGTTTGTTGAGATTAATTTGTTGAGAACCAAATTAAGAACTCAACTGAATTTACAATAGCCATGAAAAATACCTAGGAATGCATAACTATATAAATGAAAGATCTCTACAAGGAGAACTACAAAATACTAATGAAAGAAATTATAGATGACATAAACAAATGGAAAAACATCCCATGCTCATGGATTAGAAAAATCAATAGCTAAAGTGACCATATCACCCATACAATCTATAGAGTTAATGCAATTCCCATCAAATTACCAACGTTATTTCTCACAAAATTAAAAAAAAATCCTAAAGTTCACATGGAGCCAAAAAAAGATCCCTAATAGCCAAAGCACTTCTAAGCAAAAAACAAAGCAAAACAAAACAAAGCCCCCAGAGCAAAAGACAAATATGGTTCCTACAAATGAAGACCAATGGTAATGCTTATCTGTTCGTGGTAGAAGTGTAAATTGGTAGGATTGTTAAAAAAAATAGTGTAGCATTTCATGGTAATGTTGAATAACTCAATAATTTTACTTTTAAATATATACCCCAGAGGATATCTTGCACATATGAACCAGGTGATTTACAAAAGAATGTTCATAGCAGCATTGTTTGTAATGGTTAAAAACTGGAAAAATTTCAAGTGTTCATCAACAATAGATCTGAGGAATGAAGTCCGACATATTCATGTAGTGGAATATCATATAGCAATACGAATGGATGAATTACACCAACATTCAACAAGGTTGTAATATGCAAACTTATTATTGAATCAAGGTGAAAGTACCTTCTGATAAAGGTGAAAGAACTTCTACAAAATAATTTCATTTATATAAGTTTCAAAGAACCAAACTAAATAATGCATCACTTGAGAACCATTAAAGTCTATTAAAAAACACATACAATGCAATGGAAGGACAGTGGTCATATCCAGCAGGAAATAAAGGAGAACACAATTGGCAAGGAGCACCCAATGGGAGTCTAAGGCACTAGTAAAGTTCTATTTTGTTTCCAATCCTCCAAGACATCTAGTTTTTTTATTTTTCTGAGACATGGTGGCCCAGGCTGGAGTACGATAGTGTGATCTTGGCTCACTGCAACCTGTGTCCTGGGCTTAAGTGATCCTCCCACCTCGGCCTCCCAAAGTACTGGGATTACAGGTGTGAGCCACCATGGCCGGCAAATGTTCTATTTCATATCCTGTATGGTGGACACATAGATGTTCTCTTTTTTATTATTCCTTGAACACTAAGTATATGTTTATTTATATTCTCTGTGGAATACCTCCTTATTTCTCAGTCAATTCAGGATACCTCCTTACCCCCATCCCCTTTTTACTTTTCGTCATGTCATATAGTTTCTGAAATATAGAAAAGCTTACATATTATCCTGTCATCAAAGCGGCATGGAGGCATTTGGTAGAATAAATATTATTTGTTGATTATTCATCCTTTCCTTTCACTTTACAGAGTCAATCAAACACCAGGTCATGTTAATTTTACTGTCACGCACATATCTTGAATTTGCCTCCTTATCTCTATTTCCACTATTCAGTTCAGACCTTGATAATCACTCATCTGCATTGTAGTTGCATTTTTCTAATTATTCTGTTTCTAGTCTTGTTCTAAAATCTTTTTTCCTCCCACAATGCAGCTAGAGTGGTCAATTTAAAGCATCATCTATCTCAAGAACAAAAAACCAAACACCGCATGTTTTCACTCATAGGTGGGACTTGAACAATGAGAACACTTGGACACAGGAAGGGGAATATCACACACCGCGGCCTGTTGTGGGGTGGGGGGAGAGGGGAGGGATAGCATTAGGAGATATACCTAATGTAAATGATGAGTTAATGGGTGCAGCACACCAACACGGCACATGTATACATATGTAACCTGCACGTTGTGCACATGTACCCTAGAACTTAAAGTATAATAAAAATAAATATTAAAAAAAGAAGCATCATCTTTATTAAAACATTTAACGGTCCTACTATTCCTTATGCTATAAATTTCTTATAATTTAATAAATATTTTTCCATAATTGTGACTCTCTTCTATAGCTCTTGTTACTCCCGATATTCTTCTAATTATCAGGCAGCAGTACAAAGCTGCTTACACCTCTTTACACATCTCTTTATTTTAGGCCTCCTTGCATTTGCTCATGCTGTTCCTTTTTGTTTGAAAAACTTACACATTTCTTCATTTGGTCAATCCTTGCACACTTTCAAGATTCATTTGAGGCCTCATTGACTTTGGAAACCTTCCCTGTAATCTTGTATTATTAATTTATCTTAGTTTTCACTTATTAGCTCTTATTAGATTACTGTCCTTACGTGTGTAACTCTCCCACTAGACAGTAAGCTTTTGGACGGCAGAGATGATGTCTCATTCATCTTTGCATCTTTAGCGCCCAGCCTGGTTTCTGGTTTCCTATAGTCACTCAGTGTTGAGCTAAACCATATTTTTGGAGCAATGACTTGACAATGCAGTATCATGATGGAACTATCACAGATGGACAGAATGAGTCTCTTGATTCCTACATTTATTTTTCTATTGATATAGCTGATTTAAAAAGAAACCTGTTAATTATATAATCATGTAATTACCCTGACATAACATCAAACTCCATAAATTACTTTCCATCTCTGCCTCTCTCTCTTTCTATATATATAACATATACATGTTACAAAAATGCACAGGGAATAAATATGAGCAAAATGGTAAGAAGTGCAGGTCCTAGGTCAGATTTCTTGCATTTAGTTGCAGGCTACACCAACTTTAGAGAAAAGATTTAGTGAAAAATAAAAATGAATCATTAATACACCACTTGGCACAGATAAGTTATTCAGTAAACATTAACATATATGCATTTATGTTTAACCATGGGTTTAAGTGATTATCCAGAAATCTCCCTCTCTTTGACTATGTTTGAATATTAGATACTTCTTAATTTATCTTTGCTCTGAATTTGTTTTTTTTCACTCGTTGTATACTCATGGACCATTTTATGTGTTTCAGGAATTGATATTTTATTTAAAAACTGTTACTATAGAAAATTAACTTTTGGATAGTCCTGTTCAGACTAAAACTATCATTTGTAAGATCTGTATTACTGCAATCATTGGTGTTAATACTTTGCATTAATTAAAATTTTTTATGGACATATAATAAGTATTTCTCCCACCTTGATTTTTGTGGCTATCATTTTATTCATTCCATTGCTTTTTTCTCCCAGTTTGCTATGAGGAAGTTGATAAGTACGTAGGCAAAACGATAGATTGTTTTGGCAGCTTCAGTGTATTTAAGTGCCTGTGATGAGGCTATGGTTTATTTTTCTAATGTAGAATTCATAATGTAGAATAAATTTTAAAAACATAAATTTTATTCCTGCACATTGTGCACATGTACCCTAGAACTTAAAGTATGATAAAAATATACATATATAACAAATTAAAAACATAAATTTCTTTGCACAGCTTTTTCTTTCTGCTATTTTTATTCAATGATTATTTGCTTCCCTTGTTATTTAAGAGCTGACTTTTGGCTTCATGGCCAAAAATAAAATTCTTAGTAGGAGAAAGTAAATGTGATTTACTGATGAAGATGCCACCCCCAAGTGACCCATTAACCACTTTCCCTGCGTTACCCTGGGACAACCAAAGTGATTCCAGGAGACAATTCCCATGACAAGTGATTTCTGGCTGGCAATGCCAGGTCTCTGAAGTTCCACTTGGCCACTGCCCAAGAACAATTAGTGCCGTTAGTTAACTACCTTTACTATGACAGCATTTTGTGTAACTCTTTGCACAGGGGAGTTTTATGCAACAGACAGAAACTTTCTGAGTTGTTCTGATTGCCTGAAGATGCCCTGTTTTAGAGGAGCAAAATTTTCCCTGTTTACTGTGTTTCAGTGTTAAAAATATGAATGCATTGTCAGGATTAGCTCTGGCAATGGTAGTTAAATGCAGATATCCAGACAAAGGAGGTTATAGATTGGAGACTTTGTGCTACTTGATAATGAAGCCTTGGTTTTGATTTTATTTATTTTTAAGTTGAAAAACAAAACACACACACACAATACAAAACATGGCACAAAACAAACTTATAGTTTGATTTTTGTAAACATCCCTGTAATCATCACATAAGTCAAGATATAGGACTTTGCCAGCCCTGAAGCATGTGACTCTCCTCAACTGCAGCCACCTTTCTCCTGAAAAGTGACGATAAACATGACTGTTCCAGTAGAGGCGTCCTTGCATTTTCACGGCTGTGTCCTTCATGCATGCATTCCAAGACACTATGATTTAGTCTTGCCCATTTGTTTTCATTTGTCGTGTTTTTAAAATCCCTTCTAACATACAGGTTTCTTTTCAAAGTTTTCTTTCCCATACAATATATTTGTTGAAAAATTTGGGATTTTTGTCACTTGGTGTCCACACTGTGAATTTTGCTGGTGAGACTCTCAGTGAAGATCGACATTTTCACTATCCTTTGCGTTTTATCCAAATGACAGTTGAATCCAGAGGTTTGACTAGGACACGTGCTTGATTCTATTTTTGGTAAGATTGTAGGTGATGGTGTGTTCATTCACCAGGAGGTTTAATTATGGCTTTTATCTTAGCACCTACTACTACTTTCTACTAACACCTGTTAATACAAAGAAAGTTAATATTTTCTACTAGCACCTGTTAATCCTCAATATGTACATGTAGGATATGTATAGACACACGTGTGTCTATGCATATAATATATAATAAGTACATATTATATATTTTTTAAGAGAAGGAAAGAGCATGTGAGAGAGCACATTGCTTATTTATGTTGATAATACTGATTCTAATGTAACTCAGTGGGCTGCTTCTTTCCTTGTCTTATTCCATATCTGTATCTCTGTCCTTTCACAGTGAGAATCTGGGGTTCTAGCAATACAAATATATTAATATTTACTCATTGGCTTAATCTTACAATGCACATACATTTGTTTCAGAATTGTTATATTTATACTAATATAAAAAGAAAAAATCCTATCATGAAGATTTAATAATTTTTTGCAGATATTTTATTTTTTCAAGCAATAGTATGTAGTCAAAGTATGTTCAAAAGTCAATTTGAAATAAGAGAACAGTCAAAAATTAATCAGATTAATTATTATTTTCCCCTTAAGTTTGATTATGTCATTCATTCATTTGAAATATATTTGGATTCACTTGTTTCTCATTGCATTCGGTTTTAGAGTCTTGTAATAACTTATCTTTGCTTGCTTAATATCACACTTTGAGAGTGTAAAAGATTAACTTAATTAAAAATGTACAATTATGCACAAAAGCATTCACAGAGCAATATCCCATTCTCCCATATTTCTTTCACCAAATTTCCCTCTAATTCTTTATAGATAATACATGTTTTCAGATTCTGGTACATTTTGGCTACATTTGTTTGTTTCATGCTTGTATTTTTGGTGTATTATCTAAGAATGCATTGCCAATCCACAGCAATGTTTTATTTCCATGTTTTCTTCTAAGCATGTATGGTTTTCACTCGTATATTTACATTATTGATCCAATCTAGATTTTGTATATAATGTGAGGTAGGGGTCCAGCTTCATTTTTTTTGCATATGAATATTCAGTATTCCCAGCACTTTTTGTTGAAAAAGCTATTATTCCCCACTGAATAATGTTGGCTCCCTTGTAAAAAAAAGTCAGCTGAATAGAGATGTTTTGCTTAGTCTATGTAAAAGTATATTAATTTTATTGATATTTTAAAAGAACCAACTTTTAGTTTTGTTGATCTCTGTATAATTTTTTAATTCTCAATTTCATTTATCTCTGCTCTAATGTTTATTTCCTTCCTTCTGCTAGCTCTGGATTTTGTTTGCTCTTCCTTTTATGGTTTATTGAGTAAAGTTTGGTTATTGATTTGACATGTTTCTTTTTTAAAATGTAGGTGTTACAACTCTGAGCACTGCTTTTGATATATCACACCCATCTTGTTATATCTTTGTTTTCAATCGTCTCTAAACATTTTCTAATTTCCCTCATGATTTGTTCTTTGATTCATTGGTTGGTAAATACTGTGTTGTTTAATTTCCAAATATTTGTAAATTTTCTAGTTTTTCTTTTGTTATTGATATCTTATTTCATTCCATTGTGGTCAGTGAAGATACTTTGCATGATTTCAATCTTTTTAAGTTTATTGAGCTTATCTTATGGCCTAACATATCATCTGTGCTGGAGAATGTTCCATGTTCACTTGAGAAGAATGTGTATTCTGCAGTTTTTGAGAGAAGTGTTATCTATAGTTATTGCTTATAGTTTTATTCAAATCCTCTAATTCCTCCCTTGATATTTGCTCTGGATGTTTTGTCCTTTATTAAAGTTGGGTTTTAAAATGCCCAACAATTTTCGTGGAATTGTCTGTCTCTCCCTTTAATTCTCTCAATGGTTACATTATATATTTTGGAGCCCTGTTAGTTGGTGTACATATATTTATAATTGTTATATCTTCTTGTTTAATTTTGAAATCAATATATACTGTTCTTTGTATTTTGTAACAGTTTTTGACTTAAAGTCTATTTTGTCTGATATAAGTATATTTGCCTCAGATCTCCTTTGGTTATTACTTACATGGAATATTTTCTCCCATCCTTTCATTTCAACTCATTGTGTATTTTGATCTAAAGTGAGTATCTTGTGGACAATATAGTTGGATCATTTTTTAAAAATCCATTCTGTCAATCTCTTTCTTTGGATTGGAGAGTTTAATTCATTTGTATTTAATGTAATTACTGATAAAGAGGGGCTTACTCCTACCATTTTGCTTTTGTTTTCTGTATGTCTTATACCTCCTTTGTTCCTAATTTCCTCAATTATCGCCTTCTTTTGTGTTTAGTTGCTATTTTGTAGCATATCACTGTGTTTACCCTCTGCTTTCCTTTTCTGTATTTTCAAAAGATATTAACTTAGTGGTTACCATGGGGATTTACAATTAACATTCTTAATTTGGAACAATTTAGAATAAATTGAAACAACTTCAATAGTATACAAAATCTCTATTATTATTTAGTTTCCTATGAATTTCTTTATGTTGGTAATTTCACAAACCACATCTTTATACATCATGCTTCATTAACATAGATTTATAGTCATTATTTTACACATTTGTTTTAAAACATATAGAATATTTAAAAAGACTTACAAAAAATATGATAATTGCTTTTATATTTACCTATGTAGTTATCCTTACTGGAGTTATTTCTTTATGTGGTTTTGAGTTACTTTCTAGTGTTTTTTAGTTTGTATCTGAAGGAGTCTTTTTTTTTAAAAGTGTATCTTGAAGTACAGCCTACCAAACATGAACTTTTAAAGCTTGCTTGCTTTTCTTTCTTTCTTTTCTTTCTTTTTCTTTCTTTCTTTCTTTCTTTCTTTCTTTCTTTCTTTCTTTCTTTCTTTCTTTCTTTCCTTTTCTTTCTTTCTTTCTTTCTTTCTTTTTCTTTCTCTCCCTTTCTTTCTCTCTCTTCTTTCTTTCTTTCTCTTTCTCTCTCTCTTTTTTTTTTAATCTGGGAATGTGTAATTTATCCTTAATACTTGAAGGGGCATCTTCCAAGTTACAGAATTTTTGGTTGACAGTGTTTTTTTCTTTCAGAACTTTAAAATGTCATTCTAAGCTCTTCTGGCACCCATGGTTTATAATGAGCTCTCTGCTGTCAAACTTACTGAGGATCCTTTGTAAATGATGCATTGCCTTTTTCCTAAGCTCTTCTGGCATCCATGGATTATAATGCACTATCTGCTGTCAAACTTATTGAGGATCCTTTGTAAATGACGCGTTGCCTTTCTCTTGCTGCTTTCAAACATTCGCTTTGCCTTTTGACAATTTGAAACGTAGTGTGTCTTGGTGTGAATATCTTTGTATATTTCCTTGATGAAGTGCACTGAGCTTTTTGAATGTATATATTTGTTTTTAGTGAAATTTGGGAAGCTTTCAAACACATTTCTTCAAATAGTCTTCCTGCCCCTCACTCCCCACCAGGATTCTGTATGTAGGCATTCTTGATGTTGTTACACAGGTCTTTAGGCTCTATTCTTTTTTGTTGTCATTCTTTCATTTTCCTGCTCTTCAGACTGAATCATTTCACTTGATCTATCAAGTTCACTGATTCTTTTTTCCAGCTGCTCAAATCTTCTATTGGAACCCTAAGTAAAAAGTAACTTTTTAATTAGTTATTGTACTTTTCAGCCTCAGAATTTTTTTGTACCTTTTAAAAAATTCATATTTCTTATTTATTTATATGTCATTCTCTTGGGTTTCTTTAGCTCTTTAAGTTTATTTAAGACAGTTATATAAAGTTTTTGTCTAATATTTCCAATATCTGCTTACTCAGGGAGAGTCTCATTTATTTCTTCTGTAAATGGGCCATAGTTTTGTGTTTATTTGCATGCTTCTTAATTTTTGTTGAAAACTGGACATTTTGGATATTATAATGTGTTTATTCTGGAAACCAAATTTTTCCCTTCTTCAAGGTTATTTTTGTTACCCACTGTGGGATGTAGTTTTTATTTGTTTAGTAACTTTTGTAAACTGGTTTTGTAATATCTGCATTCTTTTTTATGTTTGATGTTTGAAGGCGGCTCGGTTCCTTTAGCTTGTGTTCATTTAGCATTTAGTGATTTAAAAATGATTTCCTTGACTGCAAGGAGCCAAAAAAGAAAAAAATATGAAAAACATCTCCCAGACTTTGCTTACTGACTCTGTATTGGGGCTCCCTCAACACTTAGTGGAGCCATATATAATTCTGCCTTAGCCTTCATTTTTTCTTGCTGTGAGCCTAGGAATTACTAAAGGTGAGTTATTAGTGTCTTCTCAGGCCTTTTCTGAGCATGTGTCCCACCTTGGCCATGCTTATGGATTTCCAAATTTTTCATTGTATGTAAGCACTTTTGAGTATTCGAATTTCCCAAAGGAACTTTCTCTCCTGCTTTTTCCTCAAGTTTTCAGTACAGTATATCTTGCCTCAATTGTAATATTTTGCCTCAAATGGCTGAGGGTTGTTAATTTGCCTTTGGATGATCTGATTTCTAAAGGTTTGGTGGAATTCTCTGTGAAAACATCTAAACCTAGTGTTTGTGTGTGTGTTATAATTCCATGACAACTGTATTTCTCTATGGAAATTGCTCACATAAGTGCTGTACTTCTTTTTTTTTTTTTTTTTTGAAGTCAATTGTGGTGAATTGTATTTTTCTGGAAAATTACCCATTCCCTCTAGCTTTCAATGTTTTTCATAGATGTGAACAACATTGTTTTTAATGATTTTTTATTTGCTGATTATCAATAGTTATTTCTCTCACCATTCCTTATTCATTTTTGTGCTTTCTCTTTTTTTATTCATGATTAAAAGATCTAATTTTTTGTCAACTTTGTTGATTTGTTTAAAGAACAAGATTTTTGGTTTACTGATTTGATCTGTTTTTTGGCTTCTTATTTTATTAATTTTCACTTTTTTCTACTATGGGTTCTTTCTTGTACTTTCTGCTTACTCTTTTAGATACTTTTTACATTTTTCAGCTGATAATTTAATTCCTACACTTTTATTAATAAATGTGTTAAGGCTATAGATTTTCCTCTGATCACTGCTTTAACTATATCCCATATACAGATGCTCCTTGATGTATGATGAAGTTATGTCCCAACAAACCCCCGTAAACTGAAAATATCATAAGTTAAAAATGCATTTAGCACACCAAAAATTATAGGTTAGCCTAGCTTACTTTGAACATGCTCAGAACATTTTGATTAGACTTCATTGGTCAAAATAATCTAACAAAATGTCTAAATAAAGTATTGAATAACTGATATTTATTAAATATGGTACTGAAAATAAGAAACAGAATGGTTGTATGGGTACTCATCATTAATGTACATAGCTGAAATTACACAGGGCCTGAAGAATTTTTGAAGCATTGAGCTAAAGTTAATTGCTGAATGATGGGACTAATACTTTGACACAGTCAGTGTCTGTCTCTTCCGATGATGAGGGTTGAGAATAGCTGGTAGAAAGTATTGATGCTTGTTGATGGTAGGCAGGAATTATGTTCTTCAGGAAGATATCAATAATATTGATATCAGGAAGATATCAATAATGTCACAGATTATGCTTCATACTTGTCTTCCTGAGTCTTCTTTATCCCGAACACCCTGAGTTTTCGAATGGTTGACATGCCAGCTGGCTTTCTGCAGATGTACTTCTCGTGCGTAAATTTCCTTCTCTGTGAGGTATTCATATTGAACATGACCTCCAAGTGTGTTTGGGTCTGTGCAGAAGACAATAGGACTGCGATTTCTGATGATTAAAACCTGGATTGTATGTTACTGTGATCAGACCCTGAGACTGCGTTAGCAAGTTTTATAGCATCTGAGTCGCTCTGTTGGAGGAAAGTGCATGTGATGGGCATTTGCTTGCTTCCCCACCAGATTCTCTACCTTCACCCTTCCTGCAATATTCCCTAGGAAGCTGACCTCTGCTGAATGCAACACTCAGGTTCTCTGCTTCCTAGATTCTAGTTGAGTTTGGTCCATGGGAGGCCTTGGCAGAAATTTTGAGAGTAAGAGCAAATAATTACTTAACCATTAGAAAAAAATAACATGAATGTGTCCTTCTATCCATGGCCTCAGTTCCTGTTGGGGAGCCTCGGTGCCAATCCCTCGGTGCATCACCATTTCTAATTAGTTCCTGTTTTAGTCTGCTTTTGCGTGTGTGTGTGTGTGTGTGTGTGTGTGTGTGTGTGTGTGTGTGTGTGTTGTTATAAAGGAATACCAGAGGCTGAATAATTTTAAAGAAGAGAGGTTTATTTGGTTCACAGTTCTGAAGGTGTGCAAGAAGCATGGTGCCACCATTTGCTTCTGGTGAGGGCTTTAGTCTGTTTCCACTCATGGCAGAAGGGGAAGGGAAGCTGGCATGTGCAGAGATCACGTGGCAAGAGAGAGGGGTTTGTACCAGGCTCTTGTTAACAACCAGCTCTTGTGGGAATTAAGAGAGCTAGAACTAGGTAGGCACGGTGGCTTACACCTGTAATCCCAGCACTTTGGGAGGCCGAGGCAGGTGGATCACCTGAGGTCAGGAGTTTGAGACCAGCCTGGCCAACATGGTGAAACCCCGTCTCTACTAAAAATACCAAAAATTAGCTGGGCATAGTGGTGGGTACCTGTAATCCTAGCTACTCTGGAGGCTGACACAGGAGAATGGGTTGAACCCGTGAGGTGGATGTTGCAGTGAGCCAAGATCGCACCACTACATTCCAACCTGGGCAGCAAGAGTGAAACTACATCTCAAAAAGAAAAAAAGAGCGAGCAAGAACTCACTTGGATGGCACCAAGACATTCGTGAGAGGTCCACACTCAGGACCAAAACACCTCCCATTAGGCCCCACCTCCAACAATGGGGATCACATTTCAACATGAGTTTGGAGTGGTCAAATATCCAAACCCTAGCAGTTCCCTTAACCCTGGAAAGAGACCCTTCATTAAACTCTTTCTGCTTAATCCTTTGAGAGTGCAACAATTTCCTGCTAGGACCCTGACGGATAGAGGGACCATACAGATCACTAAAATGCTGAGGAATTTTTCAAATGAACTGCACCCAACAGACCTCCCTGATTCTGAATATATCAAACTTTTATTTTTTATTTTATTTTATTTTATTTTTTGAGACGGAATCTCGCCCTGTCACCCAGGCTGGAGTGCAGTGGTGCGATCTCGGCTCCCTGCAACCTCCACCTCCTGGGTTCAAGCGATTCTCCTGCCTTAGCCTCCCGAGTAGCTGGGACTACAGGCATCCACCAGCAGGCCCGGCTAATTTTTTATTTTTAGTAGAGATGGGGTTTCACCATGTTGACCGGGCTGGTCTTCAACTCCTGACTTCATGATCCACCCACCTTGGCTTCCCTAAGTGCTTGGATTACAGGCGTGAGCCGCTGCACCCAGCCAAACTTAAAAAAAAAAACCCAAATAGTACTTTGAACTTCACCCGCAGGGAGTTATTCAAATTGGTTGTCAGCCAGTTATTTCAGGTTGTTGAGATCATCTGGCTCTTGATTTTATTAATCATCTTAGCCTTCCCTTTCAACAATTTGCCGACTTTGTGCAAATTTTATTAATATGTGATCTCTGTCTTTATCCATGGAGAGGCAGTATAGTATCATGAGGAAAAATAGACTTTGGAGTAGGCAGAAATTAGGTTTGAATTACTAGCCACGAGGCTTTGGGAACATTACTTAAACTCTATAAGCTTCAATTTCTTTATCTATAAGGTATAGATACCTTACCTTTATCTATACCTTATAGATACCTTTATCTATAAGGTATAGATCTTTATCTATAAAACCTGAAAGTTTTGGCATGAGTTTAGTAAAACTGTCTGTGAAGCCCTTGTGGACTGCTTGGTCCATGTAGGCATTTGATAAATGGTGGCTTTATATAGAGTAGGGAAATGCAAGCTATCTCAAAAAGAAATCAGGGAAATAAGAATGCCATCTGAAATCTGTCATATGAGAATGAAAGGAGCATAGACAGGTTTTGAGTGTGGGGTGAGGAGTAGGGGAGGGGAGGAGATAAGTGAACTGCCCCTCAGACTTCCAGGGAGGAGAAAAATGATGTCACTGGGAACTGCAGTCATTTGAAAAGATAGCAATCAAGCATTTCTTTCAGAGCCCTGTTCATCTTTCAGTGGCTTTGCTTCTCCAGATGCTTTTGCTCCTTCAATTATCTCTGCCTTCTCCCACCTCCTCTCCAACCATCTCTTCCCTTCCTTAATTCACAATTTTTCTCCCTCTTTTCAAGGCATAGTGCTTTGATTTATAAATTAGTTCTATGTTTCTGTTTTCTAATTTATTAGTTTCTGCTTTCTTATTTATTTATTTTGAGATGGAGTGTCACTCTGTTGCCCCAGTTGGAGTGCAGTGGCATGATCTTGGCTCACTGCAACCTCTGCCTCTCAGGTTCAAGAGATTCTCCTGCCTCAGCCTCCCAAGTAGCTGGAATTACAGGAGTGCGCAACCAAGCCTGGCTAGTTTTTGTATTTGTAGGAGAGACAAGATTTCACCATGTTGGCCAGGCTGGTCTGGAACTCCTGACCTCAGGTGATCTGCCTGCCTCAGCCTCCCAAAGTGCTGGGATTACAGATGTGAGTCACCGTGCCTAGCCTGCTTTCATATTTATTAACACATTATTTCCACTTTCCTAAGGATAGTTGTTGTTCAACCTTTACTAGCTTTTTTGTTGTTCATACTTAATACATTTATTTTTATTGTGCTATAGCTATTTCCCACATGTGATTTTTTTTTTTTTTTTTGAGATAGGATCTTGCTCTGTTGCTGAGGCTGGAGTGCAGTGATATGATCATGGCTTGCTGAAGCCCTGAACTCCTGAGGTTGGGTGATTCTCCCACCTTAGCCTCTCAAGTAGATGGGATTACAAGAAGTACCACTATACCTGGCTATTTAAAATTTTTTTTTGGCGTGTGTGGAGATGGAGTCTCCCTATGTTGTCCAGGCTGGTTGCGAACTCCTGGTCTCAAGTGATCCTGCCACCTTGGCATCTCAAAATGCTGGGATTACACATGTGTAATATTTTTATTGTCACTATTTTCCACATATTCTGGAAATTTTATTTGGATTTCTTTTTTTTTTTTTTTTGACAGAGTCTTGCTGTGTCACCTAGGCTGGAGTGCAGTGGTGCAATCTCAGCTCACTGCAACCTCCACCTTCTGGGTTCAAGGAATTCTCCTGCCTCAGCCTCCTAAGTAGCTGGGATTACAGGCATGCGCCACCAGGCCCAGCTAATTTTTGTATTTTTAGTAGAGACAGGGTGTCGCCATGTTGACGAGGCTGGTCTTGAACTCCTGACCTCAAGTGACCTGCCCACCTTGGCCTCCCAAAGTACTGGAATTACAGGCATGAGCCACTGTACCCGGCCTGGATTTCTTTTTGACATAGAATTATTTAAGAGAAAGCTTTTAAATTTTCATGCTGTAATTTCTAGTTTTGTTGTGTCATAATCAGAGAATATAATCTGTAGCATTTCTACATTCTCTACTTTGCTTAGATGTTTTTAGGGTGGGGTGTGTAATATGTACTGAATTTTGTAAACATTTTATGGACATACAAATTTCAATGTTTACTTTTTCAGGCTATAGGCTTTGCTACATAATCTTTGTGTATTTTTTGGTCCTCATATAGATTTTTTAATTACCTTTTTGCTGTGATAGAGATTAGAAGGGTAAATTAATGTCTCATTTACCATCATTTTTCTTTCTGTATCTCTTTTCATTTCCTGATGCTTTGGCTTTATGAAATCTTTATGTATAAAAATTGTGCACACATATCTTTATGCACAGTGTTTTGGATTTTACCCTTCATAATGAGCTTTTTTCTCTCCTTTGAATTTGACCTGGCCTGGTGTTAACAGCCCAGGTGTAAAATTCCAGTGAGAAAGAAGTCTGATGAGGAGTCAGTAGGATCTTTGTGTTGCTGAGAACTGCTCAGTAACACGGACAGCTCCCTGCACTCCAGGAAACATCCTGATTCAGTGTCTTGAGTATTGTGAAACACAGTTAGAGCAGAAACATGGAGAATCACCTTAAAATGGCAAATTGGCTTCTGGTCTTGCATAAGACTTCATTGAGGCCTAATGGGCTATGCAGGTCTACTGTCCAAAGTACAGAGGTTATTCCTAGTGTCTTTAATATTACTGTCCCTTTAGGCAAGAGTATCCTTATGATAAGGGAGACTGAATTAAGCTATTTTGGCTGAGGTATATTTTTATAAATTCATCCAATTAGCTTCCCTTGTTGTAGTTTTGGCTCACCAAACATTGTTCTGATTATAATTTAGCATCCCATATAATTTCATCTGCAGGGAGAGTCTGTACTAGGCATGGCGATGCTTACATGTCAGCCCGTGTGACTGCAAGAGTCTCAGTATAATTTGATAACATGGCACTCAGATTCTAGACATTATTCTCTGTGTGCTTAGTGAGTGTGATGACATAACCTTCAGAAAGATTCATCCTTTCTCACATATTGATAAATCAACTTTTACATCTACAAAGTTGAGAGCCAGAAATTAAAACCTGATTAATTCACTAAGGCATCCCTATGACGGCAGTCTTCCAACTAGCTCCATTCTGGGGCACTCTGACATCATTATACACTTTCCAATGAAAGCAGGGAGTGTATGTGATTAAAGGGAGAGCCCTGTGGCACTCCTGAAAAATCTCCCCTCCCAGTTCACAGTGACTTATTAACCAACACTCATGATCATGTGAAACTCTAGAACTGGATCTGGGTGCCTGGCAGGATGACATGGTGTGAGGCTCAAGCAGCACTGTGGGAATTCAAGCATCTGTTTATTTCTGAGAGAAAAAGTGTAAAGCAAAATAATATCTTTTAACAAATGTTTGTATTTGACTAAAAAGGAAGCAAGCACTTAATTTATGAATTTGCTAATTGCTCTTCTGAGCTGAGAATATCTGTGTTGAATATTAGTCATTATCCATATTTGGCACAGAATAATCCCGAGGGCTAAATGACATTGTTCCTACAGTGGGCACCTGAAGACTGGCTATAAAAGCAATCCTGGCCAGGGGCGGTGGCTCACGCCTGTAATCCCAGCACTTTGGGAGGCCAACGTGGGTGGATCATGAGGTCAGGAGTTTGAGACCAGCGTGGCCAACATAGTGAAACCTCATCTCTACTAAAAATATAAAAAAATTATCTAGGCACGGTGGCAGACACCTGTAATCCCAGCTACTTGGGCGGCTGAGACAGGAGAATCACTTGAACCTGGGAGGCAGAAGTTGCAGTGAGTCAAGATTGCGCCAATGCACTCCAGCCCAGGCGACAGTGTGAGACTCTGTCCAAAAAAAAAAAAGAAGAAAAAAAGAGAAAGGAAAAAAAAAGGAAAAATAAATAAATAAGTAAATAAATAAATACATAAAAGCAACCCTAACACTACTGAGGCTATTGACAGTGGCACTTTGCTCTTCTGTTAGAACCTTGGGAAAATGTTTTCCCCCTGAATACAGTATAATAAACTTGGTTCTTATTTCTCTTTCTCTCCCCCTCCTTTTTTCTTCCCTCCCCACTACCACATGCACACACACAAATAGACAGATTTGTTTATATTTGACTTTCTAAAAACCTGTTACTAGAAAGGCACATTAATACATTTCTCCTGTGCTGATAGTAATCAGGCAACTCTGGTTTCTATCGGAGGCAATTTCTTACGTATTAAATGCCAGAAAAAGGGCATCCCTCCGTTTTTGTAGAGAGCCTTTCTTTATGAAGACTAATGACCACATTAGTTAGTCAGTCAGTCAATAATACTTACCAAATGTCAGTAGAGCCGAAGTGAACACCAACAAAAAATCACATTTTACAAATGCAATTTACTTGGTATCCTAACATGCCATGTCATAATAATTATTGAGGCTTTTCTTCTCTGCTGCATTGGTCTAATGAAAGTGGCTAGAAAAATATGGGTGCCCATGTAGCCTCCTGGAAGCACCTGTATGACTTTTCTAGAAGCGAGGTTCCTGGATAAAGATGAATTTTTAAAAGCTGGAATGAATGAGCAGCAATAGCAGAAGGAGAAAAGTGAGTGAGGGCTCTCCAAGAAGCCATCTGGCAGGCTAAGGGTTCTGAGGGAAGCTCTGGTTTCAGAAGCAACTCAGGAATTACTTCTGTCATATTAGGATGGGATGGTAGGAGATTGGGAACTCTAGGGACTAGAAGTCATTTAATTTCCTGTCTACAATCCTTAGAAGAGGTTTTGAGACTTGCAACCTAGGACCTTAACTAATCATCTTCCCTCAGCATTGATAGAATTCTTTATTATACATGTTAATATCAGATTAGTCAGGATGGGCTGGATTATGCTGTGTTAACAGCCATTCTCTAAATCTCTGTGGCTCAACATGGAGCTCTGCCTGTCATGGTCACTTGGGACCCAGGCTTTGGGTATAAGGCTACAGCACATGGAAAACGTATGAATGTCTCTCAGATTCTTAAAGCTTCTGCTGGAAGTGACATGTCATTCTGCTCACAGTTCATTGGCTAAATGAGTCACGTGGCTCTCTCTAACTTCAAGGATGGTATGAAATTGCAATCCTACCATGTTTCTAGAAGGAGAACCAGCCCTAATCACAATGCTACATGTTTATAGCTTGCCTCATAGAGTTTACTGTATTCTCCTGGTATAATTTTCTTACATGCTCAACTGGAGAGGAAGCTCTTAAATAGAAAAAAATCACAGTAAATTTCCTTTAAAAGATCTATTTTACAACTCTAGCATGATGGAGCACAATGGAGTCCTTAGTAATGGACTCCATCTCTTCCATCAGATAAAATGTTGAGAACTGAAGTTAAAATTTGAATAATGAAACCAAAGGAAAAAAAATTAAATGAATTTTAAGACAATTGAGATAAGAACAACTGTGGCATCAGCATAATTCAATTTAATAATGTATTAAATATTTTGCAGAAAAGTGAAAACAAATTGATAGCCAAATCAATGCAGCATTAAGCCACCATGTGGTCTAATTTCTTGCTGAATTGACAAAACAAAACACTAGTTTAGTTATATAAACATGGCTGATGTTTATACAAACAACAGAATTTGCCGGTAGCATTATCACTGGAAAATAAGATGTGTACTTAATTCTTGTATGTTCTGAGCCCATCTAGGAAGAACATAAAAGACGAAGAACAAAGCAATCACAGGATGTTATCATGAAAATATCACCTTTGGCTGGAGTAAAGTTTTGGCTAAATGTGGCACTAGTATTTATTACAGCTCACCTTTTTATAATGAAGGGCTATGGACTGAACATTCTTATTATTTCCCATTTTCTTACCACTCTATCCCAACACACATGCACATGCATGCACACACGCACACACACTGGCACCCACACCCATGCATGTGGGACACACAGAGCAGCCCAGGCAATTTCAATTGTTGGCAGCTTTGCTTTTATTAGGTATTAGTCTACCAACTTGCTTTCTCTTTAGAGAGACTAAGTGAAACCAAACTCATTTCCACCCAGTTATCCTGCTGGAACCTGTAACAGTTACTGTAATGTTAAAAGCAGTAAAACAAAATAAAAACCAGTCAGTTCACTTACTCCCGAAGTCCGCAGTTTGGTGTTCAGCTTTAAAACGTGCTCTGGGCGTCCTGTGGTGGCTACCAGAGGCTTTGGTGAGTCATTGTCAACCCAGTAGCTAGAGAAGTGCTGGAATGCCCCTGTTAAATACAGAGCCAGTTTGTCCTTCAGAATGGCTGCTTGAACGAATTTACTGCTCAACTCGAAAGGCCATTTTTTATAACCCACTGCAGTTGTGCTTCATGTGTTTCTCCACCTATCCTGTAAAGTGTATTGTGAAATTAATTTTGTAGATTTCCTCACACTGCAGTGACTAGGGAAATCACCCATTCATTATTATCTAATGAGGAGAAAGTGGAAACATCTAGAAGCACTGCTCCCATCCTCCTCCCCAGCCCACACAGACACCTACCTCAGGCCCTCCCTGTCCCAGGTGAGCAGAGGGCCCCACCTTCGGAGGTTGCCTCCCTTCCACCTTCACCAATCCTATGACCAGATTATCCCCAAGGAAATGTCAATCTCCAGGCAGCAAGGGAATCATATAAAGATAAGATCATTGAGAGATTTTTTTCCTCCGTGATTGGCAGTTTATATTTTCTTGGGTCTACAAATCTGACAGCATTTATTAAATTTTCTAGTTTGATACTGACCTCTGTCTGATGCTGGGCTGTCACCATGCCCAAGACTGAGGGGACCCACAGTCTAGCTAGAAGGCATGGATCAATTCCAACTGCCCTACCCCTAGCCTGTGTGCAGGAGAAAGCTCTCAGGCTCTGGCAGAGGAGTCCCAGGGGAAGGATGCATGATCTTCCACTGTGCCTCCCAGCCATGCTGAGCAGCAAAGCAGACCATGAGCAGGTCTCCCTTAAATTCATTTGCTTGATTTGTCCTTGAGTGTCCTTGGATGGGTTTGTTCCCTCCTTGTCCAGTATGTCTTGGTCATCCTGATTCCTGGGCTTGGCTCCCAGGTTGATTCTTTCCCTGACACAAAACAGGCACTATGGGCAAAGACACCTGCAGCCTTGGAGAGACCAGTGATGCTGGATGTTTCCTGTTAGCACTCAGGAAAGCTCAGAGCTTTTGATGAGCATCTTTTGATCCATTAGTTAAAACCACGCTGGGTTCTTTATAGTGGTTAGTTAGCTCTGGGCTATGGGATTGTGGAAGACATTTATTTCTTCTTTGGATTCACCTGGATTTTCTGCAACGGACATGTATCGATAAAATACATGGTGCTTTTCAGAAATTGCCCCATCATCATGTTGCTGTTGTTGTTATTGATATTGTTGTTTCTGATGGATAGAGATCTAGGCCTGACACTCCAAGCAGTGTGAACAGCATTTACCTTGATAAGCATTCTTACATCTTAACCCTCAGGAATTTTAAATAGAAGTGTTCCGTGTGATTAAATTAACAGGTTTAGAGATGGGTGTCCTGGTTATTTCCTTTGTTCTCCTCCTGGTAGCTGCCTGCACTCACAGCGTGTTGGGAATGGTGATTATAAATGTAACCATGCTCTCTTCTTGTAAGTGGAGAGCCCAGGTACCTCTTATCCAGCATGTGACCCTCTTTCTACCTCAGGATAGTCATACTCTTAGGCTTCCTAGATTTATTCAGGGCCAAAGGAGTGGTCAAGGTCCTTTTTGTTTTGCCCTATTCCCTTTGGAAAACATTTAGTTTATGCCCATGTTACAGATTGCAAAATACAGGCACATATTCTCACTAATGTGGTCTGCATGTCCCTTTGCAAGGACATGCAATGTGACTTCACTACTCCTTTCATCAAGAAAAGGAGCCTCTTGGTCGGGCACGGTGGCTCACGCCTGTAATCCCAGCACTTTGGGAGGCCAAGGCAGGCAGATCACGAGGTCAGGAGATGGAGACCATCCTGCCTAACACAGTGAAACACAGTCTCTACCAAAAAATACAAAAAAAAAAAAAAAATTAGCCAGGCGTGGTGGTAGGTGCCTGTAGTCTCAGCTACTTGGGAGCCTGAGGCAGAGGAATGGCGTGAACCCAGGAGGCAGAGCTTGCAGTGAGCCTAGATCGCGCCACTGCACTCCAGCCTGGGCAACAGAGCAAGATTCTGACTCAAAAAAAAAAAAAAAAAAAAAAAAAGAAAAGAAAAGGAGCCTCTTTGCCTCTTTACCCTAATCTGGGCAAGCCTTGCAACCTGATTTGCCAAAAAAAATATGAAGGAAGCAATGTGATGTGATTTTCCAGGCTAGAATGTAAGAAGCCTTGGAGCTTCTGCATTTACTGTCTTCAGATGCTGCCTGAAACCACTGTAAGAAGCTCTAACCTACTGGAGGATAAGGGGTGAGCCCAAGAGCATCAAGGCTCCCATCAACAGCCAGTCCTGTGAGTGAGGCCATCTTGGACCTGCCAGCTCAGTAAACCCTTTTGCTGAACACAGCCCAAGGAAGGAACCCTTGCAAAATGAAATCATGTGGTCAGTTTGCAGGGTGGTTATTACACAGCAGTAGATGATTGAAAAGGCCCAGTGTCTTCCTGGGGACTGAAACACCCACCTCCTGTTCATGTTGATACACGGTGAGCAGAATATGGATGTGGGAGTGGTGTTGGTTGCAGGTGAGGTAGAGAAGCACTGAACAGAGCACAAAGACCTGATGTTCCAGGGTCGGGAGTTTAGACTTGATCCTAACAGCGGCCATAGGCGGATTTAGGCAAGAGAGTAACGTGGTCAGATTTTCATTTTAGAAAGTTACTCTGACATCCATGTGGAGAATGAACTTGAAGGTCACAAGGCTGATGGAGCCAGGAAGACCATTTGGGAGGTGATCGTAGTAATCTACTTAAGAGTTCATTACGAGCTGGGGAATGGGGAGGTGTTAGAGAAGAGAAAATGGATTTGAAGAGCTGAGGGATGTTAAAAAGGCAAAACTGGGCCAGGGATGGTGGCTCACGCCTGTAATCCCAGCACTTTGGGAGGCCAAGGTGGACAGATCATGAGGTCAAGAGATTGAGATCATCTGGGCCAATATGGTGAAATCCCCTCTCTACTAAAAATACAAAAATTATCTGGATGTAGTGGCACACACCTATAATCCCAGCTACTTGGGAAGCTGAGGCAGGAGAATCGCTTGAACCCAGGCAGTGGAGGTTGCAGTGAGCTGAGATTGCACCACCGCACACCAGCCTGGTGACAGAGCAAGACTCCGTCTAAAAAAAAAAAACAACGGAAAATTGTTGGGACTTGTAATTAATTGGGTGAGGAAACTGAGTGGCAAATGGTCTCAGCTCTACACATGGAGAGCCCTGGGGACATAGGGAGAGCACATTTGGAAGGAAAGATGATGATTTTAGTTCTTAAAATTTTGTTTGTGGAGGAGGCATTCAGACAGAGAATTCTGTTGGGCAGTTTTATGTAGAGAACTACATCTAAAGAGGTCAGAAGTGAACTTCAATAAAATTGAGGTGACCAATGATCATCAGTTTTAAAGAGGACATATTTTCTTTTTCTGTTAAAGGGAACACACCTATGAGTCAGAAAGCCAGACATTTATTTTTTCTCGCCAAAGGTTATTGTACAACCTACGGAAGAGAGTGTAAACACTGGTCTTTAAGATGAATTGTAAAGCTCTAAAGAGAATAAGAAAAATTGTGTTTCATGATTTATGATGGATAACATTTTAGAGTTGATTTCATAAGAGAATTCATTAAGCCAATAGACAACCATGGCATTTTAACTGTAGTGTTTAAGTATCTTTAGCTCTGATTTTTTAATTAGCAGAAGCAAATAAAGAGAGCTTCATTTTAACCATGAGAAATCTCTCTTCTGTATTTCATGTGACTAAATTTGTCCAGACGCTGAAGTTCAAATAATCACAGTGATTGCCAACATAATGGTTAATTTTCTGAGAAGTAAGTTCATGCTTTGCCACAGTTTGCTCCCCTGTAAGATCAGACAGAAAAATAAGAATAAAACCGACTAATAGCTATTGATTGCTTCTGGAACAGCTATCAATATAAAGAGCCAGACAAAACACATAATAAAGAATTGTGTTAGTGCCAGAGAGACTTTAGAGATCATTTGCCCATCTCTTTACCTTCTCCCACTTCTTTCTGTCCCTCCACCCCACCAGCTCTGATACAGACACACAGGATATTAGTAAAGGATAGTATTTGTTGAGAGCCTTTTGCATGTCAGGCACTGCTTCTAAACGTTGTATAATACCAGCTCATTCAATCTTCAAATCAATGCTATACAGTAGGTACTCTTCTTCTTTTTTTTTTTTTTTTTAAATTTTACAGCTGAGGGACTGAGGTATGGAGAGGTTAGGTAACTTGTTCAAGGACACCAAGCCAGTCAGGCTGCCACTGGACCTAAGACAAGGTAACCTGGCTCTGAGACCAACCCCACAGAGAAGTATGTGGATGCTGACAACACTGTAGGAAGTTACAAGGAGCAAAAGAATAGCAGCCTCAGCCCTGAATTCCACTGTAAGCTTCCCTCTAATCTTCCCTGCCTCACTCTCAATCGAATAAAGAGCTGATCAGGAAGCAACTATGCACGGTCTTCCCCTCCACACCTCCAGCCCCAGCTCCCTTCCCCAGACTCAGTGCCAGCCTGTGCCAGCCCCCAAGATGGCAGTGTGGAGCCATGCACTAGGTCTGCCGCGCACCCAGCAGTCGGCTGTGGGTTCTTTGTATCTGTCAGAGTCCTGGCAGGAAATGGTTTCATTCTCAAAGGGTTAACTAGGAAGAATTTAGTGAAGGGTCAGTTTACAAGGTTCAGGAACTAACGGAAAATGGTGAAGCACCCAGGGACTGGCACTGGAGCTTCCCCACAGGAGCTGAGGCCAGAGAAGTATACATCCATTGTTGTCTTAAAGAGTGGTTAACTATCTATTTGCTCTTACTTTCAACATTTCTGCTGGGGCCTTGCATTGAGCAAACTCAACTGTAATCTAGAGAGCAGGGACTCCTGAGTGGCACATTCAGTGGGAGTCAGCTTCCTAGGGAATCATTTATTTATTTATTATTTATTTATCAGAGTCTCACTCTGTAGCCCAGGCTGGAGTGCAGTGGTGCGATCTTGGCTCACTGCAACCTCTGCCTCCCGGGTCTCTGTTCAAGCAATTCTCCTGCCTCAGCCTCCTGAGTAGCTGGGATTACAGGCACGTGCCCCCATGCCCAGCTAATTTTTGTATTTTTAGTAGAGACGGGGTTTCACCATGTTGGCCAAGCTGGTCTTGAACTCCTGACCTTGTGATCTGACTGCCTCAGACTCCCAAATTGCTGGGCTTACAGGCATGAGCCACTGAGCCCTGCCTTCCTAGGGAATCTTGTAGGAAAGACAAAGGTAGAGAATCTGTCTGATGGCAGAAGCAAATGAATGCCCATCACATGCACTTTCCTCCAACAGAGCAACTCGGATGCTATGAAACAATGCTAAGTCAGTCTCAGTGTCTGTTGCAGTAATATTGTACATACTGTAGGTCTTAATCATAGGAAATTACATGCCCATTGCCCTGTGCATGGACCGGAGCGCACTTATGGGGGGCCGGTAGTCCTCCTTTCAGACATCTTTTTTTTCTCTGCCCCAACAAGTGGCCTTTCCATAGAAGACTGCCCAGAGAACCCTATGGCAACCCTACCCTCTTATTCCACTTTATTTTTCTTCAAAGTGTTTATTACTCCCTGTTGTTATGTTAGACTCTATATTTCTGTATTTGCTGTCCTCCAACTTGAAAAGAACCTCTGAGAGGGGAGGGACTTTCCTGGTCACATTCACTTGTCCCAGCACCTGCGATGGTGCCTGACATATCTCAGGGGCTCCTTAAATATTTATTGCTAGACAATGGGTATCATGGCTCAGCCTCCTCTGGGGTTACGAGGCTGGAGGAAAGAAACTTTAGCATGAGTGCAGTGAGAGTAAAAGAATTCAGCAGCTCTAATCAGGGAATGAATCTGGTGTGTAATAGGATCTCAAGGCTTGACTCCTAGTCTAAGACCATTTCTGGAGTTTGCTGACTTGATCCCCATCCTTCATCATTAGCACTTTGCAGGGAAGGAGCTGAGCGTGGATCTTGACTCTGAATTGGCTGGGACATGCAAAATCGGGGGCATGCTTGGTGTTGCCCAGGCTCAGCTCTGCCTAGACACACGTGAGGGCCAAGATCTGGTTTGTGTTTCATGAGCTCTCCCAGGATGAAGACCCAGCCAGGCTGTCTGAAGAAGGGGTGTTCTTGAGTAGGAGGGAAGTACTGCTCCAATACGAAAAATCTAACAATAGCATAGTCCTTAAGAGCTTGAGCTTTGAAGAGGGAGAACAGACCCATTTAAGGCATGAAAAATAAAGGAAACTCTTGAGTCCCTCCAAGGAAAATTCCAGCCACCTGGCTAGCCTCAAGAAGTAGATGAGCACCCTGATAAGTAAGAAGGTAATAATAGCTTAAAACAATAGTCAAGAAAATTAGAGCCACAAACTAATCTTAAATGACGAGTTAATGGGTGCAGCACACCAACATGGTACATGTATACATACGTAACAGACCTGCACGTTGTGCACATGTACCCTAAAACTTAAAGTATAATTAAAAAAAAAAGAAAATTAGAGCCACAAAATGTTTGTTTCCCTATAGAAACTAGAGATAACATCTTAACATATGTCCCTGAGTTGTTTTGTAGAAACCCAGACCCCGCTAAATGGAAAATACCACCTGTTGGCTCGTAGATCTCAGATAAGGAGGAACTGAGGACTGAACACTCACAACTGTTCTTTGTTCTAAATTTCTTCCTGAGGGACCTGGAGGAAGTCACACCCACAGGCCAGAGCAGAACATTCCTTTCTGCTGACCCCAAGTTTGTAGCCAAAACTTAACCAATCACAAATCAGAAAATCTTTGGGTTTTTGTTTGTTTGTTTGAGACAGAGTCTCACTCTGCTGCCCAGGCTGGAGTGCAGTGGCACGATCTCAGCTCACTGAACCCTCTGCCTCCCACGTTCAAACGATTCTCATGCTTCAGCCTCCTGAGTAGCTGGGATTACAGGTGCACACCACCATGCCCAGATAATTTTTGTATTTTTAGTAGAGATGGTGTTTTGCCATGTTTGTCTGGCTGGTCTCAAACTCCTGGCCTCAAGTTATCCACCCACCTTGGCCTCCCAAAGCGCTGAGATTACAGGTGTGAACCACTGCACCTGGTCTCAAATCAGAAAATCTTTGAATTCATCTAATGGTCACCTATCCTGTGGGCCCTCACTTTGAGATATTTTGCCTTTTTTGGCCAAACCAATATGTAGCCTCCATGTATTATATGACCTTGCCTGCAACCTCTGCCTTCCCACCTTTAAAAACCCTTACACATAAGCCATCAGGGAGATTAGGCCTTAAGGATTAGCTGCCTGATACTCCTTGCTTGCTGCCTGCAATAAATTCCTCAACTTCTGTCTCAGCAATGCCGATATCAGTGCTTGACTTTGATAGGCTGGGTGGGTGGACCCAAATTTGGTTTGGTGACCCTTTGAGCTTAGATTCAAAATTCTAGTTTTGTCACTCTGCAGTTTTGTGATCTTGAGCAAGTTACTTAACCTCTCTGAGCCTTGTTTGTCATGTGTAATGAAAAGAGCTATACTTACCTTGTGAGGTAGTCCTCAGGATTCAATGAGATAATAAGTACTCACTAAACAAAACTCGTTATTACAAAAGAATCACTTTGTCTCTGAAGTGGGCAATTCAACCCATTTCTAGGAGATTTTAAACATGATTTTAGATATTTGGTGTGATTTTGTGAATGGGTTTATCGTTAATAGCTTTCATGCTCCAGAATTTTCTTGAATAATAGGTTTTTGCAAAGTGCATTCCATGGAATACTCATTTGGGTGACGTTAATAGACATCACTCAAAAGCTGGGTGAATATTACAATGTTTACTTCATCTGTAACAAGCTGAGTAGCTACAGTACATATCTAAGAGGGGGCTCTAATTCTCAATATTTTCCAAATTTATTAGATCACAGACTTTTCTTTTAGTGAAGTGCTTAATGAAACTTAAGTTCTGTGAAAAGTACTTTGAGAAATATTGCTTTAAAAAGAAAAAGATTGAGCCCTGTATCAGGGGAAATATCTAATATTATATTAAACAAAAAAGTCCCACTGAAGAAAATCATCTTATTGTTCATAGACCTTAGTTTAGGTATTGGGGCCAAAGGATGGATGACCATTTCAAACGATCCAGGCTAAGCCAGGAGGAGAGCTCAAAGTCTGATCTGGTGAGTAAGTTGTGAAGGGAATGTGATGAAAAAGTACACTTCTATTGCAAAGAAATCATGAGCTAGGTTTATACGCTATGCTGTGAATGGCCAATAGATTATAAATTCAACAGTCTCCCTGTCACAGCTATGGTAATGACGACTGTTTAGGCCTTAGGGGAGCTTTAGGGAGAGGCAATTTCATACTTAAGTCACACTGACTTAAAAAGTGAAATATTTGAAATCATTGTTGAAATCACGTGGAGGTCGTCAGCAAGCGGATGAGGTTGGAATGCCTATCATTTTCCTCAAGCTCATGTCCTCTCATTTTCTTATTTGAAAATCTATTTGGCTCAGAAAGGACACCTAGGGTTAGTCAAAAATCACCTCCTGATGTTCCTTTTAAAGGAAGCTTCCAAGTTATTTGAATAGCTTCCAAGTTATTCATCGAGAAACAAAGCAAATTCAAAGATTATGTCCGTAAGCACAAACTGGATTTTAAGAAATCCTGGCTGCATAAACAATTGTCTTATAGAAAAGAATTTCTGTTCCTCTTTTCCCTCCCCTTGTCAATCCTATTTGTTTCAGACCTGGGTTCAAACACTAGCTGTAGAGGCTATAAGCTATTGGAAGCACATTTGAGCCTGAAATAAACTGAACCTCTTTTGCCTTGGTTTTCTCACTTGTAAATGGGGATTTTTGTGTCTACCTCAAAGGTACGTTGCAAGGATCGAGGGACAGAGCGTGCAGCAAGTGGCCAATGAATAGAAGTCTGGTTTTCTGAGCATCCTTGCAGCTGCAGGCTTCAGTCTACCAGAGAATGTGAGGTGTTATTCTTCTAGGGCAGTGGTTAGAAAAGAAAATGAAAGTAGCAGTACTCTTTTCCTAATGCAACCATAGATGGATGATCAGAATTTGTAATCCATAAGGTAGAAGCTGCTGTGCCTGAAGAAATAGAAAGTGGGCAGAGGTGGAGGGGCAAGGTAGGGAGTGGAGTGGAAGGTAGGGAGAGTTTGATCCTAGCCTGCACTGCTCCTCAGAGGTACTTTAGCCTCTTTGGAACAGTATTAGAAAATCATGGTTCTATCAACTCATGTCTGAAAATCAATTGCTATTTCAGAGCAGGAGGTGACCAATCTTGGAAATAAGGAAGGGAGAGAGGCAGCCAAGCCAGCAGCTCCTAGGATTAGTCACTGCCTGGAGCCAGCTCTTGGAAGTTCCCCAGGAGCTGTCCAGTCTTATGTCATGTCTAGTCAGCAGAGTCCCAAAGAAGCTTGTCATTCTCTAGGCATTTGTGCTTACATTCTGATGGGCCTAATAGCAGGGAGATGACATGGAGCCCAGGCAGAACAGCTGAGATTTCTACTGGTCATGACCTCCATCTTCTCCTTCACACCTTTCCTACCTTTCTTTTTCCATGCATTCAACAGACATTTATTACCCAATAAGTGCCAGGTAGTAAGCGAGGACCTGGGGAGAGCAGATGAGTAAGACACCGTCTCTGTCTCTCAGGAGCTCTCAGATTCTTAGGGACACATGTACATCCTAATAAACACAGTGCATCTCATGAATGTGTAAGTTTAAGTTATTGATATAGGCACACACAGACAGAGGGACTTCGTTCCCTGCAGGTTCTGTAGTATTTCGTGCCCACTCCCCTTTCTTCCCTTGCTGCTCACATCATCCTGCCTTCAAGGAATCTGGGGGGATGGTAGACTGAAAGTGGCCCTTTCTGCATAATTCTTCTTGAAAATAAACATTTGCTCTCTTCTTAGAGGCTGACTATACTGAGAGCTACCACTCCTTGGCTGCTTATTAGCCATTGGGTTATTGCTAAGCCCTTTACATATGTTATATCATTTAATTGTATTGAATCTTCACCATAACACTTCAATGGAAATATTTTTCCAAATAAGGAAAGGTGAGACTCAAAGTAGTTGTATTAGTCTGCATTGCTATGAAGAACTACCTGAAACCGGGTAACTTATAAAGAAAAGAGGTGGGCCGGGCGCGGTGGCTCATGCCTATAATCCTAGCACTTTGGGAGGCCGAGGTGGGCAGACCACGAGGTCGGGAGTTAGAGACCAGCCTGGCCAACATGGTGAAACCCCGTGTCTACTACACACACACACACACACACACACACACACACACACACCTGTAATCCTAGCTACTCAGGAGGCTGAGGCAGGAGGATTGCTTGAACCCTGGAGGTGGAGGTTGCATTGAGCCAAGATCACACCACTGCACTCCAGCCTGAGTGACAGAGCGAGACTCCATCTCAAAAAAAAAAAAAAAAAAAAAAAAAAAAAGAAAGATGTTTAATTGACTCTATGTTCCACAGGCCATACAGGAAGCATGGCTTGGGAGCATGGCTGTACTCCAGCCTAGGCGACAGAGTGAGACTCTGTCTCAAAAAAAAAAAAAAAATCCCCATATCCCCATTCACTGTCCTTTTCTCTAGAAAATACCCCATTTCATATAACTGTCTAAACAACGGTTTAAGGTCTACACAAGATTGTGAAGTGAACCTGCAGGATTAGGAGGGTAAGGATTCCCACCTAGGTGGGCTCACTTGCTCTGCCATACCTGGGTAGGATCCCAGCCTGCTTCTGTGATTGTCAGGAGGCACCAAAAAGGCTACCCTAGGTTTTCTGTCATTCGGCCCAAACATTTCCTCTGCTGGGCAAATGTGGAAAAGAGGCATTAAGCTGGTGCTCCCACAACTGAAAGGAAAGCAATTCTCTTTCTGTTGTGGTTCCTTCCTCTTTGGACTCTTTTCTTCCATTCCAGCCTATCCCCTTCTTGGAAAAGCTGTTCTACCAATAGCAGGGAAGAAACAGCGCCGTGTACCTGATACGCTACCCTGGGCACAGGCGATCAGACCAGGGATAGACACCTGAACTGATCTGGGCAGATGCCCTCTTCTGGCCATTGAGAATTGACAGCATCAGACATCTAGAACATAATAGTATTTTTAAATTCTGCAGGGACATCCACCAGGCTGAGGGGGACCAATTTTGTTTTAAAAATGTATCCTGAACTTGGCCAGGCATGGTGGCTCATGCCTGTAATCACAGCACTTTGAGAGGCCAAGGTGGGCGGATCACTTGAGGTCAGGAGTTTGAGACCAGCCTGGCCAACGTGGTAAAATCCTGTGTCTATTAAAAAATACAAAAATTAGCCAGGCGTGGTGGTGTGTACCTGTAATCCCAGCTGCTGGGAAGGCTGAGGCAGGAGAATTGCTTGGACCAGGGAGGTGGAGGTTGCAGTGAGGTGAGATCATGCCACTGCATTCCAGCCTGGCCAACAAGAGCAAAATTCCATCTCAAAAAAAAAAGTATCCCAAACTTGGAAGTAAAAATAGGATGACTGCACGTCTTTCTAATGCCATACTGGAAGGTTGCCTAACAAACCACCAAAGCTTTTTTTAACTCTCTAAGGGAAGGTACTTTTGTTTGACTTACTATTTACTATTGATTAGGGCCCAGACTCTGCCAAGTTACATGTTAATTTTTGTCTGGTAGAGATACAAATGATTTTTGTCCTGTAAAAAGATTTTATTGCTCCACAGGACATTAATGAGTGAGGTTTCCAAATTAGCAAACTTATGTCAGCATGCTGTTTCTGATGGTCTATCCAAATCTTTCTCCTTCCAATTCTCTTTTCAAACAGCTTTACCATCCTCTGGTTCTTTCTTTTGTGAAGTAAACAGATCTTTATACACACTCCCTATAGACTTATATAAGAATCATGTTTTCACTTTTTGAAAATGATGCTTTGACAATTCCACTGAACAGGCTGGGGAAAATTTTATGAGAATTGTTGGATCCTGCTCAGAAGCAAAAAGATAAAACCAGGCTATCCTCTATCATGGCTGATCTGGGGTTCATTCCCAGAAATGAGGGTCTTGGATCAGGGTCAAATATGTGGGTGGGGTGGGCTCAATTACTGAGATACCCATCTCATGAGGAAGGATGGGACCCATATTATGGGAAACAAAACAGGAAGAATGAGAGTGAAAAGATTAATCCTTTCACTAAATTGGGAAAACAGGAGAAAGTGTTGTTGGATAAAGAAGGAACTTTAGCACAATGAGCAGAGACAAGACGGTAAATGTTCCTTATCCAGTAATCTCTGATGAAAGGCCAGTGCTCACATCATTAGTAATGTCCAGAAATGATAATATCAGTAGTAGCAATACTCACAATGTAAATAAGTAGCTCTCATGTTTTGATTGCCAATAGTGCTAGCAACCTTACATGTATCACTCTCTACCCCAGCCCTGTTAATTGGTACTATGATGAAGAAAGAGACTCAAAGAAAATAAATGACTCACTCGCGTATTTTTACACAGCTAGAATTGCTACAGAAAGGATTAAAGCCAAGTCTATCCAAATCCACTGTCTATGTCCCTCCCTCCCTCCCTCCCTCCCTCCCTTCCTTCCTTCCTTCCTTCCTTGCTCCTTCCTTCCCTCCCTTTCTGCCTCCCTCCCTTTCTGCCTCCCTCCCTCCCTATCTCAAACATCTATTGAGTGTCTACCATGTGCCAGGCACTGTGTCAGGCTCTTGGGATACAGCAATAAGCCAAGTCCTTGCTTTCAGGGAGTTTACATTCCAGTGAGAGGGTCACAGAAACAAATGTATCTCTATGGCAGCAAGTGCTATGAAGAAAATCAGCTTCATTTTTATTGTTTCATGCCCATCATGCAGGTTTCCCACAGTCCATCATCCCCACTCCACCCCCCACCCAATGTAGTGCTTTCCTCTGTCCTGGAGAATCGGAAAGACTTCACAGCAACATCTGCAGTCCCTTTGTTTCAGTGACTTTGGCACAGAGAAGTGGACATGGTGGCAGACAAAGCTGCTGGAAGCTGTCAGGCTACTGGCAGCCAAAAGCTTAATCACACATTCCAAAGGCAGTGTGTGTGTGATGTTGCATCTCTGGCCCTGGAAGGGAGATAGAGGTCACCTTCTTGGGAGTCAGAGTTGGCCCCTCAGCTCCCAGGGGTTCAGCTGAGCAGCTTCAGAGGGCTGACTGCAGAGACCAGGAAGGGGCCATTCACTCTGATGGGAATTGGGAATCATTGATGCTCGAGCAACAGCTGAGTTAAAATTCATGCTAAGAAATCAGCATTCACATGTGTACATATTTAAGTCAGGATCTCAGTGAAGAGGGCATGACAGCAGTGAAAAGAGGTGCCAGACCTGAAGTAGGCTACCTTATGGTTGCTGCTTCACCTGTTGCTCTACACACACACACACACACACACACACGATTCCAGAAGATAGTGGGACAGTAGCAATTTGAAGGCTCTGCCAGAAAAGCATTTGCTTAAAGTGTTGGGAATTTTTTGTTGGATTGTTGTTTCATTCATAGGGCTTCTAAATTTCACTTTTGCATTTTAACCATTTCAAGGAATTCCCCCTGATTTTGAGTGTGAATGGGTACAAAAGACCAGGGGTTGTTAACCAAAAGCCTGGAACATTCAGGTGAACGGCTGTTCTGCAGGGAAGGAGGGAAACAGCAGGGTGAGATGGATGGTCAACCTTCAAAGGCCTTACACAGTCCCGGCCAGGATAATCTTCGCCTCTCCCTTCTGCTGGGGAAAAGTCTGGATTGCTAAGACCAGGGTCTCTATAGTGGCATCTCCAACACTCAGGCCGAGCTTCATGGCTGGGTTCCTGTTTTTTCATTTGCTCATGCCCCTCAGTGGTATCATCTGACTCAGCTCCTTTCCCTCCTGTTGGGCCAGTACTTACAGTGGGTCTCCTGATGAAGCTGAGGTCATGGGTTCATGAGCCCAATTATCACCATGCTGACCGCACCACTAACCTGGCTCCGTGTAGTTGCAAACTTGGCTGCACATTGGAATTCCTAGGGAGAGTTTTAAACATCCCAACGACCAGGCTGCAATGAAATAAGACCGATGAAATCAGGATCTCAGGGGTGGAATGGGACTGGTAATTTACAGAATCTCTCCAGCTGATTCCATATTCAGACAAGTTAGAGCACCAATGCCCTCAGTCCTGAGAGTGAGGGCTGGTCTCATGAATCCATTCACACAGATGGAAGTCCATCCTCACAGCGGTCAGGCCTCACACAACATCGGGCATGTTGGTAGGCATATGCCTAAGTTTCTGTGCAATGAATGCATGCCTTACTGGTGATGCATCAATAGCAAGGCATTCAGGGGAGAGAGTACCCTGCCTCAGTGCCTAGCATGAGACATACATCCAGGACCATGTTTTTATTCCCATCTTATGGATGAGAAAACTGAGGTTCAGAAAGGGTAGGCAAAATCCCCTAGCTCACCTGGCTGGAAGGGGGCAGAACTTCCCTGTACGTGCTGAGAACACCACTGTTCGAGCAGAGGGGAAACCTCTGCAAATTTCACTCTGTGTTCAGTGGGTGACTTGCCAAAATGACTTGCCAAAGCCCTTTAGGGCCAATAAATTAGAGTGTTTGCATCAAATTTCCATGCACAAGAGCCAACTCAAAACCTTAGATCCAATTCCATTGGTTCCCATAGCTCTGAAGTGGAGAGATGCTAGTAATAAATCCTACAGGCTGATGGCAGGACTTTGATATATAATATTAACTCTGATCTTGGTGGTGGTCTGACTCAAGACAGAGGGAATATTAAAAGCAGTAGTAATCCTTCTAAAAGTTCCATGCGCTTCTGCCCAGATATCCAGGGTTTCTGGCTGAATTAGCCTGCAGAAGCAATTGTGCAGATTAGGTGATGTTGAACCACGAGAAAGTGTCTTCCCACTTAGCAAATCAAGGGTCCATGGGATGGAGAGAAAGGAGGGAATAGAGTTTGTCACTTGGGCTGTACTGACCCCAGTGGTGATGTCTTCCCTTTGATGGGTGGTGTTGGGACAGCAAGGCAGTCATCATTTAGCCCACTAGTGCTAAGGCGGAAGGCATCCGCAGTACATGGTCTGGCATCCCCAGGCAAAGACAAGAGGATGGGCCCTGCAGAGTGTTTTGGGTTAGAAACAAGCTGAGTGAACTGAGTGTTTCTTCAGGGAGCGCACTAAAGATGAGCCGACAAATCCACGACAGTGGGGAGTGAGGTGAGGCAGGGACACAAATCCACAGCTGACTCACCCAGCACATTCCCACCTCCTCAGCATAGAAAACCACAGGGACAAACTGACCAGAAGGCTATTCATCCATGGGTCTATCCCGTGCCTTGATCAGTCTTCCTAAATCCCACCTTTGCCAAAGTCACTCCAGTCTGTGAATTTTCCATGGCTTCCTGATGCATATGGAAAGACGTTCAGACTCCCAATCTGAGGTCCAATGCTCTCCAGAATTCCATCTTTCCCTACCTTCCTGGAATCATTTCCCATTGACTTGCCATCTACCTGGACAAGCTGGAATGGCTGCTTTGGCTGTCTTCTGAAAATGCCCTGAGGTGTCTCTGCCCCAGGCCTGTCTCCTGTGCCCCCAGAGCTGCCCAGGCCCCTGCTTCCTACAGAGACCAGCTCACAGTCTTCTTGTCAGTGGTCATCTAACAGTGGTCTTGTAAAAGCAGAGCAAGTTCCAATCTTATTTATAGCATTCAGCAGTTTTTTTTTTTTTTAGAGCTGGTGTCTTGCTCTGTTGCCCAAGTTTGAGTGCAATGGCTCAATCACAGCTTCACTGCAGCCTTGAACTCCTGGGCCCTAGTGATCCTCCTCTTTCAGCCTCCTGAGTAGCTGGGACCACAGGTATGCACCACCATGCCCACCTAAACACAGTCTACCTTTATGTGTGTGTGTCCATCCATCACCAGATGCTCACGGAAGGTAGGGCAGAAACATTTTGAAAAATAATTTTTACCTTTGAAGAGTAATCTTAATGATAACCTAGCAGGTGCTCAGATACATCGGGTCGATTCACTTCCTATGGCTGTGTAACAAATTACCACAAACTTGGTGATTTAGAGCAATGCCCATTTATTATCTCAGGGTTTCTATAGGTCAGAAGTTTGGGTGTTGCATGGCTGGATTGTCTGTTTAGGATCTCACAGGGTTGAGATCGGGGTAGCCAGGGTTGCTTCTCATCTGGGGCTCCAAGTCCTCTTTGCAAGCTCACTGGTTGTCAGTAGAATTCAGTTCCTGTGGTTGTAGGACTGAGGTCCCCATATTCTTCTTGCTGTTTGTCAGTCTGGGGTGCTCCCAGCAACTCAAGGCCACTCTCAGGTTGTTGACACAGGGTGCCAACATCTATCTTCAAAACCAGTAGGAGGATTTCTCTTGCACTGAATCTCTTTTGCATCTCTGACATTCTCAGTCTCTGACCTCTAGATCCAGATTTAAAGGGTTCACTTGATTCTGTCAGACCCACTCAGGACAATTATTTTGTTGTGCGTCCCTTTTTCTGGGAAGTGGGTCTACCACTTCTATCACGTTCTTAAAAGGGTCTGGGAATGTTCACCCATCACAGACATCCACACCAGGCCAGTTAAGTCAGAACTGCTGGAGATTCCACATTCTCCTGGGCAGCCTGGGTGGAGAACCACCTATGTGGAAGGAACACTGGGCTCCAAAGATAAGGGGCCTTGCATTTTATTTCATTACCAGTGTCTATTGGCTCTGAGACCTTACAGAAATCACTCAACTTCTCAGGGCCTCATTTGCAAACACGGATGATAATAGTAAGCTCCATCTCTCACGGTTGTTAGGAGGATTAAAAGTGTATAAAGATGCTCTGCAAGCTCTGAAGTATTAGCCAACCGTCTAGTCAGTGTGAAGAGACACTGAAAAGTGAGGTGGGACAGAGCATTTTAAGTGAAAAAGAAGGGAGAAGCTTATCTTTATCAAAGTTAAATATTAGATACTGAGTACTTTGTAAAGTCTGTTGCTGCTGGGGATCAGGCAAATTGTTATAACCTTCCTGGAAGGCAATTTCCCATAATTATCAGCAGTTTACAGAATATCCAAGCCATTTGACCCTAAGATAATGTTTCTAGGGATTTCTCTTAAGGATTTAATCAAGGACACATACACAGATTATAGCAGTTCAAAATTGGAACCCATCTATTTAACAATAAGGGATTGTTTAATTACACATGAAATATTATTTAAACTTGAACATTATATTGCCTTTAAATATTTGACATGGAAAGAAGCTTAAAACTCAGTCCTATTTCCTTATCAATGTTCTATCAACAAGGGGCAGGAGGTGTCACCTCCTTGGGAATCAGAGTTGGCCCCTCAGGTAGGTGTTTGGAGCTTCCTGGTAGGGGCTGGGGACAAAGTGTGGATGGGGCACCTGCTGGACCTGTGGCAAGATCATCAGGGATTGCTATTGGTCTCAGCAAGGGAGTGAGGCTGACCAGTTCTCAGCTGCATTTCAGAGAAGGATGAAATGCCCTAATCAGAAGTCAGCTCCCCTCATGACCCTGGAGGGAATTCTGCCCACTCACAGACTCTTTCTTATTCTGGGCCTCTGCTGTTATCTGGGTCTAGCTCCCTGTCACAGTCAGTTTGGGGACTGATCCTCCAGGAAAGTCCTGGGACCTCTCGGCAGGCTGAATGCTTCTCCTTTGTGACTCCCCTGCCATGGCGGTTGTGCCCCTTCTTACCTTCTACAGACACGACTTTTCATGGGCCTCTTCCTTTCTCCCCACCGGTAAATCACCACCCTTCAAAGGCAGGAACTGTCTCTATTTCATCTTAGTATCCTACGGGCCTGGCCCAGAGTAGATGCTCCAAAAAACTTGTCCTGAACTGAATGGGCGTGAAGCCGGGGCCTGTTGCACTGTGTTGTTGTGGGGTGGGGTGACTTCCAACCACACTGGGAGCCATCTCCCTCTCTCATTCCGAGGGAAGAGTCCGCAGCACAGATGGGTGCAACCCAATGTCAGGAGCTGACACTGTGATCAAAGAAAATCATTTCCATTGCTCCTGTAGACGAAAAGAGTCAAACTCAGTAAAATATTTGAAGAGATGTATTCTGAGCCAAATATGAGTGACCACGGCCCTTGCCATAGCCCTCAGGAGGTCCTGAGAACATGTGTCCAAGGTGGTCGGGGTACAGCTTGGTTTTATGCATTTTAGAAAGGCATGAGACATCGATCAAGTACATTTAAGAAATACACTGGTTTGGTCCAGAAAGGTGGGACCAAAGCAGGAGGAGAGGGGCGCTTCCAGGCTATAGGTAAATTTCAGTGAGTTTGTCTAAAGACCTGGGATCCATAGAAAGGGAATTTTCAAGTTAAGATAAAAGATGGTGGAGACCAAGGTTCTTTTGAAGTCTTATAGAGGCTGTCCTCAGAGACAATAGATGGCAAATGTTTCCTATTCAGATCTTTAAAAGGTGCTAGACTTGGCCAGGCACGGTGGCTCACGCCTGTAATCCCAGCACTTTGGGAGGCCCAGGTGGGTGTGGATCACAAGGGCAGGAGTTTGAGACCATCCTGGCCAATGTGGTGAAACCTCATTTCTACTAAAAATATAAAAATTAGCTGTGTGTGGTGGTGGGCGTCTGTAGTCCCAGCTACTCAGGAGGCTGAAGCAGGAGAATCGCTTGAACCCGGGAGGCAGAGGTTGCAGTGAGCCGAGATCATGTCACTGCACTCCAGCCTGGGCGACAGAGTGAGACTCCGTCTCAAACAAAAAAAAACAAAGTGCTAGACTTTCAGTTAATCTCTTTAGGATTGGGAGGGCCTGGAAGAAAAATATCTAGCTATGTTAATAGAGATTCTTTACAGATACAAATTTTCCCCCACAAAGGACAGCTTTGCAGGGCCATTTCAAGATATGGACAAAAAAGCCTATGTTTTGGGGTAAAATATTTTGATTTTCTTCCTTGTCTCATAATGTTATGACAGAGTCAGTTTGGAAAGTAAGTCACAATATATAGGGTTAAATAAAATCCATCTGATGAGAATTTATGGTTTGTAGGACATCACTCCCCAGACCCTTTAGATAGGGAATTTGGGTAAGATAAAAAAAAAAATCAGAGCTTAGTCTTCACTTGCAAGGGTGCCCCTGTGTTCCTCCACTCTCCATCCCCAAGCTGGGCTGGGATTTCTTGAGCCAGATGAGTTGAAGATGCTGCAAAGTTAAAATGGCCTTGCCTTCCTGTGCAGTCAGATGGAGCACCCCCTTCCCTCATCTGGGCCTGCTGAGTAGGGTCTCACTGATCCCCGCACTGTGTGTCCCTTAGACCTTTCCTGAGACCCAGCCCTTCCCCCGGTGGAAGGGAGAATTATTTGAAAAGTGTGGGTTTTGGTGTCAGACAGACTGGGACCCAGGTCTAGGCTACTGAACCAGTGAGCTGTGTGGCTTTGTGCATGCTATTTAGACACTCTGAGTTTTAATTTCCTAATTTCTAATTGCCAGACAGGTTGGTTGGGAGGAACAGCTTAGATTGACCTATGAAAGCATTTGTAGACTCGGAAGTGTTCTCATGGCACTTTGGATGAAATCGTTCCTGCTGCTTCAAACTACTGTGTGATGAGTTTCCAAAAATCATTGCCTGTGATCTGCAGGCTCGTTGTATGTCACAGATCACCAGATGTGCTTCCATTCCATGCTTGCTTCTGCAGTCCTGTTCTAAGCTCTGGCCTAATATTCTTCCCGCCCACGGAGCTCTTGCCACTGCCTCACCGCAGAGACTGGAACCCTGTCCTTTAACTCCCAGCTCAGAGTGTAGGGAAGTGTTTCTCAAAGTATTCTCTGTGTTATCTGCTTCCAAATTGCCTGGATATTGGTTAAAAACCAAACCTCTGGTTCCCCTTCCAGACTGAAGGATGAGAATTGGCTGTGGGAATGAGTGGGAATCTACGCTGTTGTGAAGTTCCCCACAGGGATCTCCTGCATCTTAAGGCTCAAAGGCCATGGACCTAGCCCCTGGATACTGGGCATAGGCATCTCAGATGCTGTCTGTTTCTTCACTTCCCTGACTGGCCTGGGCTCTGGGGTTGGGCCCTTCTCATTTCTGGATTTGTGATACTTGTCTTGTATCCCCTTTTATCATAGTGTGCTTTTGCTTACAAGTGAACAAAAACCCAATCCAAAGTGATTTAAACAAAAAGAGCACTTATTGTAAAAGTTCAGAATAAACTGCCTTCAGGCATGGCTTGATCCAGGGGCGCACACTGTGTTACCAGGAGGCAGTTTCTCTCTGCCTCCTCACTTGGCTACATTTTTCTCTCACTTGTGCATCCTGAGCCATTCACAGAGCTCAGGAGGATGAGTGTTCTGATGGAGCAGGGTACGCTGGTGGTTAGTGCCATCAAAAACAGAATGAGATAATGATATGGCTCAGATGACTGGAGGAGCACCAGGGTTCTTGGTCTAGCACACACTTGGATAAAATGACACAGACACACCTGGAGTGGTTTTAAGGAGCGAAAAGTTTAATATACAAGAAAGAAGGAAGGAAGAAGAAAACAGCTCCCCAGTACAGAGACAGAGGGAGAGGGGATTTGAACAGAGAGAAAACCCCGGTGGGGAGAAGGGATGTGGGGGGAGGGCGTGTGTGTGGTGTAATCAGCTAGTTATATGAGGAGGCTGGAGGAGGCGGTGCTGGCTTGCATAGGGCTCAGAGGATTGGTTTGACCAGGCAGGTCATTCACATAGCCTGCGAAAAAGCTGGCCCTCACAGTCTAGCCTTTTAAGAATGCAAATGCAGGGCGCCATGATGTTCTACACACGTGGGGATATGTGGGGGCGGCCATGTTGCCAGCCACCTGTTGGGGCAAGGAAGAAACCTGGAATCTCCATGTTTGGGTGGACTCAGTTTCCAGTGGCCTGCGTTTGCATATCAAAGCTTGCCAGTGGCTCTTAGAGCTGGCGCTCTCCTGTTAGACAAGAAAGGTTTCTGGATCTGCTTTAAAAGAAACAAAAACTTCCCAAGGACCTCTTTTCCTCTCTATCTGCCTAAAATAATTTCTTAATAACTCCTATAACAATAAGGGGGTGGTCCATTCCCACATGTAAATTGAGGCTTTTCCCAGAAATAGGGTGAATAGATGCTGAGTTACCCCAGTCAGCAAATGTCCATTTATCTCATTTGTGAACTCTGGACTCTGCACAGAGATTGTGGTGACACAGGCTGTCCTGTGACCCTGTGGCTGGGTCAGCTCCTGTGTCTGCGACAGGATGCCCTGAGTCCCCATGGATTCCTCAACCCCACACCCTGTCCTACTTTTAGCCAAGTCAGCCATGCCCCTCTGAGGGCTACGCTGCTTCAATAGGCCTGGCTTCCTAAGTACCTTTCATTATCACCCAGGCTCATACCCAGAAGCAAAGCAGAAATTTCTTTTGAGATCCAGGGTGGGAAATGGTCAGTTGAATTGAGTTGCAACCGAAGGTGAGGAAACGTCTTTTATGAAAACCCATTTCCCTCTGTCGGAGGTGATTTCAGTCACATTTTCCAAGCTCAGGATAATTTACCCCCTACCAGGGTGCACTGCAGAAGGTCTGGCTGGAAGGCCCCGAGCACAGGAGTTGATTGCTAGCTGCTAAGAGGCTGCGCTTTGTTCCCGAAGGAGAAAGCTGCAGGTTAAGAGAACATTCCCCACCTTGCCAGGGGTGACAAAGCAGGGGACTGCTTGAGGGCTGACACTGGAGTTAGAGATAATGAAAGGAGAGGAGGAAGAAGAAGCCAGGGCCTGGCTCAGCATCTCACCGCATTGGTGGGGAGAGGAGCTGCTCACCTTCTCGCACCTGTTGTTGGGCTGAGACAGATTTTCAGAGAGCAATGCCTCCTGGACAGAGGCTCTTCCCCACAGGGCAAATGTAATTAGATGAGAGAAAAACAAAGCTCTGAAACCCTAATTAGGTGCCAAGCCCTCAGGCTTTATACATCTAAACAGCTAAGGAACAGAGGATAAGATTCTCCAGTCGGCACTCCCTTGCCAGTCCTGGCTGAGCTAATGGTGAAGTGAGAGCTGTGCCACAGATCCCATGGTTGGCTTTTTGTTGTTGTTATTTCAGATGGAGTTTCACTCGCCACCCAGGCTGGAGTGCAGTGGTGCAATCTTGGCTCACCACAATCTCCGCCTCCTGGGTTCAAGTGATTCTCCAGCCTCAGCCTCCCGAGTAGCTGGGACTACCAGCGCCCGCCACCATGCCTGGCTAATATTTTGTGTTTTTAATAGAGACGGGGTTTCACCATGTTGACCAGGCTGGTCTTGAACTCCTGACCTCAGGTGACCTGCCCACCTCAGCCTCCCAAAGTGCTGGGATTACAGGCGTGAGCCACTGCACCTGGCCCCGTGGTTGGCTTTTACTCCTTCCATTCTGCCACCCTGAAGCTGATCCTCTGGAATTTGCTTGTTTTTGGTGTGTCCAGAAATGAAGGTCTATCAGTTCTTGAAATTGGGTTGTTTTAAGTAACTGATGTGCTGGGATGACAGTGAAGAAGACAAGATAGGGATTCCTCTTCCTAAACTTTAGGGCCTGAAGGGACTCCTCATTGACAGCAGATGGGATTTTTAATTTCACTCTGGGATGGAGGAAGTGGAGAGGTGATCCAGGCTGGATTGAAATCTCTCAAGCCTGGGAGATTTTGCCCAAAGACTTTTGACATGGGAACAGTAGAAACATTGGGAAAATTGGACTTTCAGGTCAGCATTCTGGGTATTTCCCCAGTCTTCCCAGGGTGGGATCATCTGGCCCCAGTTATGGGAATAAGACCACATAAATAGAAGATGACTTGGGAAGTCATCTTCCCAAGGTGTCAGGGAGGAGGTGGAGGACCACTGTTCTGATCAGCCTCCTTCAACCTCACAGTGGGGTTGGTCTCAGATGGTGCCCAGGAACCTGCCAGCAGCGGCACTTTGATGGCACCAAGATCGTGGGTGCAGGGACCCAGATTTGCTTCCTACTCATGTCTCCCTACCCACTGAAAAATGGAATATCAGTGAGGAATATCTTAGAGGGCTGCCTTTGCTCCTTTTGCCAGAGAACCAATATTGGTTATTAACAATTGGGCCACATCTGGTGTGCAGAAAAATGAATATTTTAATAGTGCTTCATAGGGTATCGTAGCATCTTATAAAAAGTGGCCCATCAAATTATTGATTCAATCATTTAAAATGCATTAGCAGAGGATGCCTATCAGACTAAGACATCCATGTTTCTGATCCAGTGAAAAGGGTCCAGGTAAGGAACACATATGAAGCCTCTTGGCATCCTTGTGTGAGCACGGTGCATGACGTGGCCATCAGTATCATTGTTTTCTTTGAGTTTTTGCTTGAGTGTTGAGATGTGTGAGGGATAGAAGATCCTTGTTTGCTTCTAGTCCTGACCTACACTGTCCATTAGGGAAATAATTTGTTTTCTTGAACCCATTATATGAATAATTTTGTTTTTAATCAATAGAAACAAATGGTCTTTATTTAACTAACAGAAAAAATTCCAATGAGGCCAGGCCACATAGGGGTTTCTGTAAATGTCATATCATTTCTCTTCTGTCCCCTCAGCTAAGAGTATAAAAAGTTCAGGCGACCTCCAGGGGCTTTTGCCTACTTAAATAGTATTACTTAGAGATGAGCTAGTACTTGGTTTTAAAAGTAATTTTTTTTTTCTTTTTTGAGACGGAGTTTCGCTCTGGTCGCCCAGTCTGGAGTGCAATGGCACAATCTCGGCTCGCTGCAAGCTCCACCTCCCGGGTTCAAGAGATTCTCCTGCCTCAGCCTCCCAAGTAGCTGGGATTACAGGTGCCTGCCACCATGCCTGGCTAATTTTTGTATTTTTAGTAGAGACGGGGTTTCACCATGTTGGGCAGGCTGGTTTCAAACTCCTGACCTCAGGTGATCCGCCTGACTGAGCCTCCCAAAGTGTTGTGATTACAGGCGTTAGCCACTGCTCCTGGCCCTAAAAGTAACAGTTCTAAGCTTTGTACTTACGACACCAAAAACATACAGACTGACATCTAAGTAATTAAGTCAATCATTAAGATATTTAGTTATGTCATGCAAAATAATAATCTCCAAGGAGTTCTCAAAGAATTCAGTAGTTTGATGTTATTGCCAGCACAGCCTTTACTGAGTCCTCTTATAAATCTTAAAGAAAAATTTAAGATTTTTAATTTTTAAAGATTTAAAAATTTTTAATTAAATTTTTTTTTTAGGGCTGGACTCTTGGTCTGTCGTCCAGGATAGAGGGCAGGGATGCCATCACTACTCACTATAACCTCAAACTCCTGGGCTCAAGCAATCCTCCCACCTCAGCCTCCGGAGTAGCTGGGACTACAGGCATGCCCCACCACATTCGGCTAATTTTTAAAATTTTTTTGTAGAGACAGGGTCTCACTATATTGTCCAGGCTGCTCTCAAAATCCTGGCCTAAAGTGATCCTCCTGCCTCAGCCTCCTGAGTAGCTGGGTTAGATCCTGGCAAATGAAAGGGCCCCAGCTTTGAACTACCTTTGGGGACGATCTCACTGCACACGGGTTCTCACACAGCACACCCCGTCACACACATGAACTCACACTGAGAACATATGAACACTACACACATGTTCTCACACAGCACACGCCCCGTCACACCCATGAACTCACACCGAGAACACAACATCACACACAGGGACTCACGCACAGAGGACATGTGAACACTACACACACGTTCTCACACAGCACACCCCGTCACACCCATGAACTCACACCAAGAACACAACATCACACACAGGGACTCACGCACAGAGGACATGTGGACACTACACACACGTTCTCACACAGCACACGCCCCGTCACACTCATGAACTCACACCGAGAACACAACATCACACACAGGGACTCACGCACAGAGGACATGTGAACACTACACACACGTTCTCACACAGCACACACCCCGTCACACCCACACCCCCACATGCCTAGACACACACATCCTTACTCTGCGTGCATCCCTGGCCTGGTGGACGGAAGATCGAGCGCTCTGGGTGGACTTACGGCCACAGGACGGGGGCAGAGTCGGCAGGGAGGCCCCTCCGAGGCCCAGTGGGCCCTGCGCTGGCCCCGGCCGCAGACGCCCACCTGCTGCTGTGCTGGCTGCGGCGTGTGCCCCGGGCTCTGCGGCTGACCTGGCCTCCACGTCTCACCCATGAAGCAGGCATGAAAGGCTGGCCAGGTTGGCTAAATGGGACCACAGCAGAAGCATGAGCCCCAGAATGTGCACGAAGGAAGAGAGAGCCGGGGGAGGTGGCGGGCTGGGTGTGCAGAGTGGGCCTGAGCTCCGGCCTCCTCCCTGGACGCCCTCCCGTGGCCGCAGCCATCCCCGCACCCACTGGTGTGGCCTGACCCTTCACCCTGAGCCCACCCTTCGCGGCCACTAGGGAACCTCAGGAGAGGCCGCCGCGGTGGGGTGGGCGGATTCCCCCGGAGCAGGCCCAGGCCCCTGCTCCTGAGCTCTCCTGCAGCGCCGTCTGCTGGCCACAGAGAACCCACGTGCGCCGGCCGCCAGGCCTGGGCATCTCCTCTCCTGCAGCGCCGCCTGCTGGCCACAGAGAACCCGCGTGCGCCGGCCGCCAGGCCTGGGCATCTCCTCTCCTGCAGCGCCGCCTGCTGGCCACAGAGAACCCGCGTGCGCCGGCCGCCTGGCCTGGGCATCTCCTCTCCTGCAGCGCCGCCTGCTGGCCACAGAGAACCCGCGTGCGCCGGCCGCCTGGCCTGGGCATCTCCTCTCCTGCAGCGCCGCCTGCTGGCCACAGAGAACCCGCGTGTGCCGGCCGCCAGGCCTGGGCATCTCCTCTCCTGCAGCGCCGCCTGCTGGCCACAGAGAACCCGCGTGCGCCGGCCGCCTGGCCTGGGCATCTCCTCTCCTGCAGCGCCGCCTGCTGGCCACAGAGAACCCACGTGCGCCGGCCGCCTGGCCTGGGCATCTCCTCTCCTGCAGCGCCGCCTGCTGGCCACAGAGAACCCGCGTGCGCCGGCCGCCAGGCCTGGGCATCTCCCCGGGCCCTAGTTCCCCCCCTCACCTAAGGGGAGGGACTCCCGTCTTTCCATCCACCCCCTCCTTGCCTCTGCAGAGCTCCAGGGAAGGCTGGCACCCGCTCACTGCATTTAGACTCCATCAGGTTCAGACAGTGGGTCAGGGTACAAGGCTTCAGTGGCCAGGGATGTGGCCTCTAATTTGTAGAGAGAAAGAAGGGCAGAGGCAAAGGTTTGGGCCCAGGGACTGGGCTCCGTTTCCAGAATCACTCTTGGAGCTGGTGAGCAGAGGGCTGGACACTGCCCTCCATGACCAGCACTGCCCTCCACCCTAGCTCACTCCCCTAGCTGGCCCAGGGGTTCAGGCTTTCCTTTCATAAAGTGGGGTCGAGGAAAGGCAAAACCTCCTCCCCTGGGCCACACGAACCGTGGTGCACAGGCTCCCACTAGGTGGGCCAGTCAGCTCATCCCATGGACACACCAGGGGCATCGAGAAAGGAATAGCGACCTGAACCCCATACCCGAAGGGTGGCCCTCAGGACCCCCAAGGCAGGGAACAGGCTGCAGAGGGTTTGGGGGAGCATCTTGGTGCATAGAAAACAAACACTCTGGGAAGCCGCTGTGAGTGTGTGTGGCTCTCAGGCCTGTTCTGTCCTGGGTGCGCTGCGTTCCCCAGGCGGCACCATCTCTCTGCCTCTGTACCCTTGAATTCCCTCTGCCTGCACCCGGTCCCCACCCACCTCCTGCCCAGCCCCACAAGCCCTTCCAGACCACTGCTGGGGCATTCCTGGGCCCCCTCGGTTCTTGGTGACTACCATGCAGTTCTCTATGGAAACTGACTCTCACTGAAAACAAGTGTAACCGTCTACCTAAGAGACTCACACAGAGTTCTCAGCCAGGTCTCCAGGACAATCAGACGCAACTTGTCATTCTCACTCATCCCATCACCCGACTAGCTTCTCAGCCCAGCCCTGGGGGAGGTTTTCCCCTTACTTGAAATGTCTCTTGGATTTGAAAAATCCCAGCGTTCACCCCTGGTGCCGACACTTGCCTCTGTAACCTTCTGCCTGCTGCTTTGCTCTCATCCAGACCGGTTGGCACTTGGCCCCCTCTGGCCAGCTGGTTCCCCAGAGACAACCATCTTGCCCACCTTGTGGAAGGCCCCATGGCCTGCCTCACCCCTCACTCCCATTTCACAGCTCTCGTGGTGCTCTACAAGAAAAATCTGCTTTATAGATGAGGAAAGACCCTTGGGGCAGACAAGACAGTCCCTGTTTGACATAATTCCTTTATCTCTTCTCCCCCAGCTCTGCTGCCCCCTGCCCCATACACGTGATGGAGCAGAAAACGTGCTGTGTGAACCTGTGACTTCAGGGCCTGTTGACGTGGTCGTGCTTGCATACTCTCTGGTGAGGGGTGGGGAGAGGGGGTGGGAGACGGGTAGAAATAGATGAAGTAGATGATGGGTGGATTGCTGGCTAGATAGATGATAGATAGGGATAGGTGGTATATGGGTGATAGGTAACAGGTGATGGATAGATGATAGAAATAGATGATGGATAGATACTTGATAGGCAAATTAGATAATAGATAGCAATAGATGAACTAGATGATAGATGGAAAGGTAGGTAGGTAGATATATGATAGATGGTTGATAGATAAAAATAGATGAAATAGATGGCATGGTTAGATAGGTGGGTAGGTAGATAGATGACAGATAGAAAGACAATAGACCACTGGGGGCTGAGCCTGGCCTGAGCCAGAAAGGTGAGAAGGGGACAGCGGTGAGGACCCCACAGGTCCCTGCTCTCACCCCTATTAGCCCCAGTGTTTGGCCTGAGCTCTGACTGACAGCTCCCTCTTTCCGAGATGAGACTCAAGAGGAGGAAGAGGGGACTTCCTAAGGACAGGGATTCTTGGTGTCTCCTTGGGGGTGGTAGACACTGCCTGCCTCGCCTGCTGTGGCCTCTCTGCACACAACCAACGACCCCTAAAGGGCTCCATGGGCGCCCATGCTGCCCCCATCAGCTGACACCCCCTGTGCGAAGATTCTCCTCCTCCTCTTCCTCCTGCCTTTCTGTCCCCTCATCCTCCTCTTTATGGAATTAACTTCCCTTGGTCAACATCTTCCTGCTTCACTCACTTCCCTAAACTCCTCCCTATCCCTTCTCAATCTGCAAGAAAAATGTAGAAAGAATATGGTAAAGGAAAGCTTTGAGCCCATATTTGGGTCCAATGCCGACACCACATGCCCCAAAGCCCCCTTGAGAGCATCCACGTCCGTGTAGTTGAGTATTGCCCGAGCTGGAGTGAGATTTGCCTCTCTACGGAGCTGCCTTCCTGCAGTTCAAGAGCACTGTCTCTTTTCTGGGCCTCCTGCCTGGTGCAAGGGCCCCAGCTGAGCCTCCTCCAGCTCTGACCTCTGGTGGTTCCGGGCTGCCCCAGAGGGTCTTGCCCAGGCTCTGACACTTGGCATGGTCTGGGAGCTCCAGCAGCCACAGCCCAGCCCTGGGGAGGCTTTGTGGTCTCTGAGGGGGCAGGTGCACTCCCCCAACTCCAGTTCATGTTTTTCCCTCCAACTCTAAGCCTTTTTCTTCCTCTGCTATTACCCAGGCACCCTACCCTGTCAACAACACTGGCCTTCAAGACCCTTTGTAGCATAACTCCCACCTATAACTCCCACCTGAAGCCAGCCCTTCCCACCTCTGCGCCTCTGATGCCCAGGACAGCTCTGACCATGGGCAGCTCTGACCCAGGACAGCTCTGACCTTGGGCAGCCCTGATCTGGGGCAGCTCTGACCTCGAGTAGCTGTGACCCTGGGCAGCTCTGACTCTGGGTAGTCGTGACCCTGGGGAACTCTCAGCACGGGGGTTGCATGCTCCTGTTTAGACAGCTGCTGTCCCCCAAGCTGGCTCACTATCCCATGTTGGAGTGCACTGTTCGGGGCTGCCTGCCTGGATTGATGCAGGGAAACTTGGTTCCAGCCCACCTCCTCCTGCGGAGGCTGAGTCAGGGGCTCTTCCCTCGGCCAGGCTGAAAGGCAGCTGTTGGTCCCCCTGTGAGGTCTTCCACATGGCCTGGGAGAGTCTCCCCATCTCTTCAGGCAGAAGGGAGGACAGTCCATAATGTTCCTTCCAGTCCTCTGACTTGTCATTTTTCTACCCCAAATCTTGCACTTTAACCCCATAGAGAGCTCCTGAAGGGGGAATTTTAACTGGCAAAACTCAGAACTCCATCCAAACACAACCGAAACCATCCTGGGTGGCTTAGAGGTGGCTGCCTCCCAGACAAGTCCATAGCCCCACAGAAACGTCTGGTCCTTCACCTGCCAGAGCTCAGGCTTTTTGGTTGAAGCCGGAGACAGGCCCAGCTCAGAGTGTGCCCCGGTTTATCCTGAACACCGACTTGGTGCGGTGTGTGTGACAGACCAGCGAAGCGGGTCTTGCTGCCTGTCCTGTGGTTGGCCCTTGGCTCCCAGCCTCGAGTCCTACCCTTAGGCCAGGTCAGAGCAGGTTCAGCAGCAGGACTGGCTAGGCACCACCCAGGCTCATGAGGTGGCTTTGTGGGGAGGAAATGAGGTTTTTTTTTTTCCTCTTGTAAAGTTGCTTGTTGTTAATTTAAAATTTTAATTTCATTTCTGAATTAACATTCAGCAAAACTGCTATTTTTTGGTGTACAGTTCTATGAGTTTAACACATTTATAGATTCATGTAGCAACACTGTGGATACAGAACAGTTACATCACCCCCAGAACTCCGTTCACAGTCACGCTCCCCGACCCAGCCCCGGCAGCTCTCCCTGTGGTTTGTCTTTTGCAGAGGAAATCCCGCAGCTGGCGGCACCTGGAGACCGGCTCCTCGCCGAGCCGACCGCGCGTGCGCGGCTCCCTCCTCGTCCGTGCTGAGCGCCGCGTGGGGTTCCGCGTGGAGGCGCCTGTGCCGCTGAAGCGTGTTTGGGTTGCTTCCAGGGTGGGATGGTTGTTGGATAGAGCTGTTTGTGCATTTGCGTTGTAGGTTTTTGTGTGAACATAAGCTTTTGTTTCTCTCGGGTACATACCCAGAAGTGCAATTGCTGAGTCATGTGGGAAGCGTGTGCCCAACTTTACAGGAAAACACCACAGGCCGCCCCTTCGCTTTGCGCTCCCGCTAATCGGGAATGAGTGCCTGCTGCTCCGCGTTCTTGCGGGCACCCAGCATTTTCCGTGCTTACATTTCAGCCATCCCGGAATGAATGAAAAGCGTTTCCTAGTGGCTGTAATTTGCATCTCCCTGGTGGCTGATGGAAGCTTATTTCCCATCCATATCCCTTGCTTGGTGACGCATCTGTTCAAGTCCTTCCCCGGTTTGTAACTGGATTATTTGGTGTTTTTACTGTTGGATTTTGAGAGTTCTTTATGTATTCTAGATACAATTCCTTTGCCAGATATGAGATTCACAAATATTTTCTCCAACTCTATGTCTTGTGTTTTCATTCTCTCAACAGTGACTTTTGCAGCATTCATAGGGATTTTATGTTTTCTTCTCAAAGTTTTATAAACCACTATATTTAAAATTTTAATTTAAAAACTATAAACCTATTATAGTTTTTAAATTAAACTGTAAACCTCTTATATAGATTTTCTGTTTAAACTTATGATTCCTTTTAAGTTAATTATTATGTAAGTTGTGAGGGTTGGGTCAAGGCATTCCTTTGCTTAAAATCCCCAGCTTTTCATTTCTCTCAGACAGAAGTCTTGACCTGCAGGGTCAGGCTCCCCTGCTCTCTGAGCTCGCCCTCCCCACGCAGCGCTAGCCCCTGGACTATTCTCACCACTCAGGCCTTGGCCTCCATACCCGCTTGGCACCCACCAAAGGGTCCGGGGACCCCTCCACAGGGCAGCGTTCTGTCTGTGAGGTGAAGCGGGAGCAGAGGGCCAGGCAGAGCCAGGCTGGGACCCAATCTCTGCTTCAGGCTGGTCTTTTTTTTTTTTTTTTTTGAGACGGAGTCTCGCTGTCGCCCAGGCTGGAGTGCAGTGGCGCGATCTCGGCTCACTGCAAGCACCGCCTCCCGGGTTCACGCCATTCTCCTGCCTCAGCCTCGCGCGTAGCTGGGACTACAGGTGCCTGCCACCATGCCTGGCTAATTTTTTGTATTTTTAGTAGAGACGGGGTTTCACCGTGTTAGCCAGGATGGTCTTGATGTCCTGACCTTGTGATCTGCCCGCCTCGGCCTCCCAAAGTGCTGGGATTACAGGCGTGAGCCACCGCACCTGGCCAGGCTGGTCTTTTTTGCCAGAGTTAGTGTTGTATTGAGGGACATGGAGGGAGAAAAGGGGGTCAGTTAGGGGCAAGTTTACTTGTGCAGGTAACCAGGGTGAGGGCTCGAGGGGAGAAGAGAGATAAGGAGGGCAGAGCTCAGCCAAGTTGGCCTGATGACATGACCAGAATGTGATCACTAGATCCCCTGCCTGGAGGCCCAAGTGTGGCCCCAGGTCTGGATAGTTGCAGCCACTGTGGGGAAGCTTCAGTTTGGGAGCCACAGAAACCAAGAATATTGTCTGGGAAGCTGATGTGCAGAGAGGAGAATGGAGCGGATGGAGGTGCGGTGGGGGAGAGAGACAAAGAGACAGAGAGGAGAGTAAAAGCCTGTTGCTGGCTCCACTATGTTGGGCTTGTCAGCCCAGCTTCTTCTTGTCCCATCCATAAAATGGGCTGGTGTCGCCCATCCTGGTTAGGAGGCACAAGGAAGTGTTGCGCTGTGTGCTCGGCCCAGCTGACTCAGCAGCTCTCCAACCTTGGGGACTCTCCAGACAGGTGTGTGCAGGTGAGGTGCTGGACCAAGGAAGGGCAGGTGGAGGACATGGCCGAGGGGAGCTCTGTGAGCTGAGCTGCCTGCTTCGAGGGTGCCCTTGAGGCCCAGGACTGACCCCTGGAGGGAGAGGCTTCCTTCCTTCTGTTGGGGCTCAGAAAACAACGCCCCAAAATGAAGTCCTCAGCAGCAGCCTCAGAAGCAAAAGTTGTCTCTGACCTTCTCCTGCCCTCCTGTCTCTCAGTCTCATTCTCCCCGAAGGCGCTGTAGAAACCAGACTCTCTTTTTCCCCAAGGCCGGTCACAGAAATCAGAACCCCTTCTCCCCAAAGCTGGTCAGAAAACCTAAAAATATTACTCAGTTTTCCGTCTACCTTTCTATATAAGAGCTGACTAGAGAGAAATGATCCAACATCCCTTGTTTGACTGTAGGTCATGAGACTGTCATTCCAGAGAGGGCCCTGCCCCACGTCCAGAGAAGAAAATGCTCAGAGACGAAGACAAATCTAGACAGACCTTGCTGGGTTCCCACTCAGTCTATTCACATTAGATCAAGCCCTTTGTGTCCAATCCTTTTTTTAGAGGACTGTTCATACGTTATTAAACCTAAACATAAAAATGGACAATTTCCCCCATCGTTGGGTCTTCGTTCTAAAGGTTCTTATATGTACACATCACATAAATTTGCATACCGTTTCTCCTATTAATCCATCTGTCTCATGTCAGTGACTTCTCAGCAAACCTTTAGGGGCCAAGGGGCCCCACACTCTCCAGCGGCAGGCACAATGGGCCTGGGGTGCAGTTGTGGACACTCGGACCCTCCTTGGAGCTGGTTTAGCTGTGCTGTGTGCTTGTGGGAATGGATTGCCATGATTTCTGGGCTCTAATAAATTGTGCTTCAATCGACTCTTGAGGAGTTAATGAGAGGCCTCACTTCAGACCATAAACACCCTCCCTGTGTGGGATAGAAACACACATCGTCACAGCCAGGAGGTCAGTCGGGTGAGGGTCTGCTTTGCTTACAAGGTCCAGAAACCCAGCAGAAAACCCTCGAGGCCACATCAGTGAAGAGTAACTTATTTCAGCAACATTTCCATGTGTGACACAAGACACACATTTCCTGCATCCACCTTTAAAGTCAAGAAGTTGAAGCTGAATAAAGCCAGCAGGCAGCGAAAATCACCTGCACTCAGTTCAGTTGTGGCAGGAAAGGGAAAGAGCCATGAAGAAAGGAGAGGGGGATGGAGAGGGAGAAAGGAGAGGGGGATGGAGAGGAGAAAGGAGAGGGGGATGGAGAGGGAGAAAGGAGAGGGGGATAGAGAGGAGAAAGGAGAGGGGGCTAGAGAGGAGAAAGGAGAGGGAGATGGAGAGGGGGATGGAGAGGGGGATGGAGAGGAGAAAGGAGACGGGGATGGAGGGGGGATGGAGAGAAGAAAGGAGAGGAGGGTGGAGAGCGACAGCTGCAGAGGGAGGCAGGGAGGCTGGCTGGGCGTGGACAGCTGCAGAGGGAGGCAGGGGAGGCCGGCTGGGCATGGACACTGCAGAGGGGACACAGCCACTCTGGGAACAGCAGCCAGTGGCGGATCTGCCTGGAATGCTGTTCCCTCCTGTCCAGGATGGGCCTGTCTCTGCAGACAGGGGCCCTCCCCTTCCTGGCCTGGCTGTGCACTCCCCATGTGCATGGTGGAAGCTCTGCAGAGGCCGTTCTGCTCCAGAGTGGGGCATAGCCTCGGGCGAGGTTCACAGCTTGGGGGGCTGGTCCTGCCCTGTCCCACATGTGGCTGTGTGGGCAGCATGGATCTTCTTCCGCGGTGACCCTGTGTGCCCACCCCCCCCAACTTATGCCTGCTTCCCAAGGCCATGGGCCTCACCCTCAGACTTCACTTTTGTGTATATGGAAAGACACAATTATCGGGACAGAAACAGATCAGTATTTGCCAGTGGGTGAGTGAGGGGAGAGGAGTTTACTACCGAGGGGCCGAACTGGGGCCATTTTTGAGGGATGAAAGTCTTCTGTGTGGCTCTACAGAGTTGGGTACGTGATGCTGTGCTTGTCAAACCCCACAGGACTGGACCTCACTGTGGGAACAACAAGATCAACAAGAGGAGCAAGAACAACATCAAGAGTCAGGGCCCGGGGGTCCTGACGGGTACAGGACGGGTACAGACCCACACAGGAATCCCAGAGTGTGTTCCACAGCAGGACACGCCTGCGCTGAAAGAGTGGGCAGAAAGGAGCTGACCTGGGTAAGTCCAAAAACAGTGTTTTGATTAGATTCTGGAAAGAATCAAATAACTCTGCATATCTAAGCACTAAACTCCAATTGGTAAAATTGTTTCCCACAGCAATACATGTTAGCAACTTTGAAACTACTTTTATATATACTAAGGTTTCACAAATAAGTCAATACAGTAGTAAGAGTCAGGGTTCTCACAGCTGGATAAGGAAGTCATGGAAAAGCCAGCGGGGACCCTGAGGTCCATATATAATATATATTATACATATATACAGATCAGAATGGACCCTAAGGTGGTCGGTTATAGACAGATATGCCAGCAGGAACTCATGTTTACATGATACATATATACAGATCAGAATGGACCCTGAGGACCATATATAATATATATTATACATATATGCAGATCAGAATGGACCCTGAGGTCCATATATAATATATATTATACATATATACAGATCAGAATGGACCCTAAGGTGGTCGGTTATAGACAGATATGCCAGCAGGAACTCATGTTTACATGATACATATATACAGATCAGAATGGACCCTGAGGACCATATATAATATATATTATACATATATACAGATCAGAATGGACCCTAAGGTGGTCGGTTATAGACAGATATGCCAGCAGGAACTCATGTTTACATGATACATATATACAGATCAGAATGGACCCTGAGGTCCATATATAATATATATTATACATATATGCAGATCAGAATGGACCCTGAGGTCCATATATAATATATATTATACATATATACAGATCAGAATGGACCCTGAGGTGGTCAGTTATAGTCAGATATGCCAGCAGGAACTCGTGTTTACATGATACATATATACAGATCAGAATGGACCCTGAGGTGGTCGGTTACAGTCAGATATGCCAGCAGGAACTCGTGTTTACATGATACTTATATACAGATCGGAATGGACCCTGAGGTGGTCAGTTATAGTCAGATATGCCAGTAGGAACTCGTGTTTACATGATACATACATACAGATCAGAATGGACCCTGAGGTGGTCAGTTATAGTCAGATATGCCAGTAGGAACTCATGTTTACATGATACATATATACAGATCAGAATGGACCCTGAGGTGGTCGGTTATAGTCAGATATGCCAGCAGGAACTCGTGTTTACATGATACATATATACAGATCAGAATGGACCCTGAGGTGGTCGGTTACAGTCAGATATGCCAGCAGGAACTCGTGTTTACATGATACTTATATACAGATCGGAATGAACCCTGAGGTGGTCAGTTATAGTCAGATATGCCAGTAGGAAATCATGTTTACATGATACATATATACAGATCAGAATGGACCCTGAGGTGGTCGGTTACAGTCAGATATGCCAGTAGGAAGTCGTGTTTACATGATACATATATACAGATCAGAATGGACCCTGAGGTGGTCAGTTATAGTCAGATATGCCAGCAGGAACTCATGTTTACATAATACATATATACAGATAGGTTAAATATATACACACACACGTGCGTGTGCATACATGGCTTAGCACACACATCTGTAGATCCTGGGTTTGTCCTTTGAGAGGGGACACCCCAGTAGCAGCAAGCACATTCCATGCCCAGATGTTAGTTTCTAAATTTCATCTTCAATAAAAGGAGCCAAGTCTCCCTGGAGAAATGGCTGATAATTGGGATGTGGGAGAGAAAATACAAGATGAACCTGGAGCATCTTGTAGTCCCAGGAAGTAAGAAAATGCTCAAAAATAAAATTTTTAAAAAGCTGTGGGCATTTCAAAAGGGCATGGAACCCAAAATGTAAGAGCTCCCAGTGGCCACAGCTACAATGATTTGAGTGCACACACACTCACACAGACATACACACACACACACACACAAATCGGATTATGCCCCAAAGAATAAAATGAATGTCCATGGATTTGTAAGCATATAAATAAATTATTGAATAAATTAAAACTGAAAGGGTAGCCGGGCGAGGTGGCGAGCGCCTGTAGTCCCAGCTACTCGGGAGGCTGAGGCAGGAGAATGGTGTGAGCCCGGGAGGTGGAGCTTGCAGTGAGCCAAGATCACGCCAATGCACTCCAGCTGGGGTGACAGAGCAAGACTCTGTCTCAAAAACAAAACAAAACAAAACAAAACAAAAAACTGAAAGGGACAGGCCTTTCTTGGAACAAATTCCAAACAAGAAATGTGGAGTAAATAGGGAAAATCACCATCAGGCTGGGCACAGTGGCTCGTGCCTGTAATCTCAACACTTCGGGAGGCTGAGGCAGGTGGATCTCCTGAGGTCAGGAGTTCGAGACCAGCCTAGCCAACATTGTGAAACCCTGTCTCTACAAAAAAATACAAAATTAGCTGGGCCTGGTGACACATGCCTGTAATCTCAGCTACTTGGGAGGCTGAGGCAGGAGAATCGCTTGAACCCGGGAGGTTGCAGTGAGCTGAGATTGTGCCACTGCACTCCAGCCTGGGCAATAAGAGCAAAACTCTGTCTCAAAAAAAAGAAAGAAAGAAAGAAAAGAAAAGAAAAAAAAGAAAATCACCATCAGTGCTGCAGGCAAGCTCCCCTGAGGAATGCTAAAATTCCTGTGCAAAGTTTAAGGAGAAAGAAGATATTTGTATACTGTCAAAGTGTCTCCCCTAAATGTTCAGTAATTACCATGGTGCCCAAATTCTTTGATGCTCCTTCCTGTGGGAGTTGGAGCTCATGCTGGACTTCATGACTCACTCTTAACCAGCAGGACATGGAGAGGAAAACAGTCACTCTCCCGTGGGGAGACCTGGCAGGCCTCACCTTGGCCGTGTGATCAAGGTCCAGACCACCAGTGATGAGGCATGTTGACATCGTGGCCCCTGAGAGCACGTGATGAGAAGAGCGCTCCACCTCTGCCGTGTTCTTCCGCAAACGCACAGTTCCAGTGTAATCAGAGAGAACATCACACACACACCAATTGAGGGGCATCTTGCAGAATACCTGAGCAGCACTCTGCAAAGCTGTCAAGGCAGTGAAACGAAGACAGGCCAGGAAAGGGTCACAGGTGCAGGGGACTAAGGAGGCGTGAGGGCCAGTGCAGCCTGGGGTCCTGGACGTGAGCTGCTGAGACGGCACCCGCGTGAGTGTCGCAGTTTCCACACCGTGAGCTGCTGAGACGGCACCCGCGTGAGTGTCGCAGTTTCCACACCGTGAGCTGCTGAGACGGCACCCGCGTGAGTGTCGCAGTTTCCACACCGTGAGCTGCTGAGACGGCACCCGCGTGAGTGTCGCAGTTTCCACACCGTGAGCTGCTGAGACGGCACCCGTGTGAGTGTCGCAGTTTCCACACCGTGAGCTGCTGAGATGGCACCCGCGGGAGTGTCGCAGTTTCCACACCGTGAGCTGCTGAGACGGCACCCGCGTGAGTGTCGCAGTTTCCACACCGTGAGCTGCTGAGACGGCACCCGCGTGAGTGTCGCAGTTTCCACACCGTGAGCTGCTGAGATGGCACCCGCGGGAGTGTCGCAGTTTCCACACCGTGACCTGCTGAGATGGCACCTGCGTGAGTGTCGCAGTTTCCACACCGTGAGCTGCTGAGACGGCACCCGCGTGAGTGTCGCAGTTTCCACACCGTGAGCTGCTGAGACGGCACCCGCGTGAGTGTCGCAGTTTCCACACCGTGAGCTGCTGAGACGGCACCCGCGTGAGTGTCGCAGTTTCCACACCGTGAGCTGCTGAGACGGCACCCGCGTGAGTGTCGCAGTTTCCACACCGTGAGCTGCTGAGACGGCACCCGCGTGAGTGTCGCAGTTTCCACACCGTGAGCTGCTGAGACGGCACCCGCGTGAGTGTCGCAGTTTCCACACCGTGAGCTGCTGAGACGGCACCCGCGTGAGTGTCGCAGTTTCCACACCGTGAGCTGCTGAGACGGCACCCGCGTGAGTGTCGCAGTTTCCACACCGTGAGCTGCTGAGACGGCACCCGCGTGAGTGTCGCAGTTTCCACACCGTGAGCTGCTGAGACGGCACCCGCGTGAGTGTCGCAGTTTCCACACCGTGAGCTGCTGAGACGGCACCCGCGGGAGTGTCGCAGTTTCCACACCGTGAGCTGCTGAGACGGCACCCGCGTGAGTGTCGCAGTTTCCACACCGTGAGCTGCTGAGACGGCACCCGCGTGAGTGTCGCAGTTTCCACACCGTGAGCTGCTGAGACGGCACCCGCGTGAGTGTCGCAGTTTCCACACCGTGAGCTGCTGAGACGGCACCCGCGTGAGTGTCGCAGTTTCCACACCGTGAGCTGCTGAGACGGCACCCGCGTGAGTGTCGCAGTTTCCACACCGTGAGCTGCTGAGACGGCACCCGCGTGAGTGTCGCAGTTTCCACACCGTGAGCTGCTGAGACGGCACCCGCGTGAGTGTCGCAGTTTCCACACCGTGAGCTGCTGAGACGGCACCCGCGTGAGTGTCGCAGTTTCCACACCGTGAGCTGCTGAGACGGCACCCGCGTGAGTGTCGCAGTTTCCACACCGTGAGCTGCTGAGACGGCACCCGCGTGAGTGTCGCAGTTTCCACACCGTGAGCTGCTGAGACGGCACCCGCGTGAGTGTCGCAGTTTCCACACCGTGAGCTGCTGAGATGGCACCCGCGTGAGTGTCGCAGTTTCCACACCGTGAGCTGCTGAGATGGCACCCGCGTGAGTGTCGCAGTTTCCACACCGTGAGCTGCTGAGATGGCACCCGCGTGAGTGTCGCAGTTTCCACACCGTGAGCTGCTGAGATGGCACCCGCGTGAGTGTCGCAGTTTCCACACCGTGAGCTGCTGAGATGGCACCCGCGTGAGTGTCGCAGTTTCCACACCGTGAGCTGCTGAGATGGCACCCGCGTGAGTGTCGCAGTTTCCACACCGTGAGCTGCTGAGATGGCACCCGCGTGAGTGTCGCAGTTTCCACACCGTGAGCTGCTGAGATGGCACCCGCGTGAGTGTCGCAGTTTCCACACCGTGAGCTGCTGAGATGGCACCCGCGTGAGTGTCGCAGTTTCCACACCGTGAGCTGCTGAGATGGCACCCATGGGAGTGTCGCAGTTTCTACACCGTGAGCTGCTGAGATGGCACCCGTGTGAGTGTCGCAGTTTCCACACCGTGAGCTGCTGAGATGGCACCCATGGGAGTGTCGCAGTTTCTACACCGTGAGCTGCTGAGATGGCACCCGTGTGAGTGTCGCAGTTTCCACACCGTGAGCTGCTGAGATGGCACCCGTGTGAGTGTCGCAGTTTCCACACCGTGAGCTGCTGAGATGGCACCCATGGGAGTGTCGCAGTTTCCACACCGTGAGCTGCTGAGATGGCACCCGCGTGAGTGTCGCAGTTTCCACACCGTGAGCTGCTGAGATGGCACCCGCGTGAGTGTCGCAGTTTCCACACCGTGAGCTGCTGAGATGGCACCCGTGTGAGTGTCGCAGTTTCCACACCGTGAGCTGCTGAGATGGCACCCGTGTGAGTGTCGCAGTTTCCACACCGTGAGCTGCTGAGATGGCACCCATGGGAGTGTCGCAGTTTCTACACCGTGAGCTGCTGAGATGGCACCCGTGTGAGTGTCGCAGTTTCCACACCGTGAGCTGCTGAGATGGCACCCGTGTGAGTGTCGCAGTTTCCACACCGTGAGCTGCTGAGATGGCACCCATGGGAGTGTCGCAGTTTCTACACCGTGAGCTGCTGAGATGGCACCCACGTGAGTGTCGCAGTTTCCACACCGTGAGCTGCTGAGATGGCACCCGTGTGAGTGTCGCAGTTTCCACACCGTGAGCTGCTGAGATGGCACCCACGTGAGTGTCGCAGTTTCCACACCGTGAGCTGCTGAGATGGCACCCGTGTGAGTGTCGCAGTTTCCACACCGTGAGCTGCTGAGATGGCACCCGTGTGAGTGTCGCAGTTTCCACACGTGCATCATTGCTGTGTAAGATGCTCAAGTGAGAGGAAGCTGGTGAACGGGTCTGTGGGAAGTTGCAGTACTGTCTTTGCAACTCTTCTGGACATCTTTTTTTTTTTTTTAAATAAAACATTTTTAACATGAAAATATGCAGAGCACGGTGGCTCGCACCTGTAATCCCAGCACTTTGGGAGGCCGAGGCAGGTGGATCATGAGGTCAGGAGTTCAAGACCAGCCTAGCCAACATGGTGAAACCCCGTCTCTACTAAGAATACAAAAATTAGCTGGGCGTGGTGATGGGCATCTGTAATCCCAGCTACTCGGGAGGCTGAGGCAGGAGAATCACTTGAACCCGGGAGGCAGAGGTTGCAGTGAGCCGAGATCGCGCCCCTGCACTCCAGCCTGGGTGACAGAGCAAGACTCCATCTCAAAAAAAATAAAGGAAATATGCGTCGTTGGATGCTGTATGACAATCAAGCTACTTATAACAAACAAAATTGAGAATGAAGGTAAATTAAAAATAATTTATAGTCTTTAAAAAGCAGGAACTACAAAATTTACATTTCTGAAAATGGCAGAAAAATCCCACATGGCTGTATATGTATGTGTGAGATTGTGTATGAATGAGCGCATGCATATATTTTTGTGTGTTTGGATTATATGTGTGACGGTGTGCATGAGTGTGTATATGATTTGGGGGTATGTGTGAGTGTGTATGACTGTGTGTATGAGTGTGTATGATTTGTGTGTGTGAGTGTGTACATGTATACACTAGTGTGCGTATGATTTGGGGGTATGAATGTGAATGTGTACATATGTATTTATGATCTGAGTGTGTATGAGTGTGAATGTGAACATGTGTGTGTGAGTGGGTATATGATTTGGGTGTGTGCAAGTATGAATATGTATTGTGTGCATTAATGTGTATATTTTGGGCTGTGTATGAGTGAATGTGAACATGTGTGCACGAGTGTATATATGATCTGGGTGTGTATGAGTGAGCATGAGTGAACATGTGTGCATGAATGTGAGTATGATTTGGGTGTGTATGAGTGTGAATGTGTGCACGAGTGTATATATGATCTGGGTGTGTATGAGTGAGCATGAATGTGAACATGTGTGCATGAATGTGAACATGTGTGCATGAATATATGATTTGGGTGTGTATGAGTGTGAATGTGTGCACGAGTGTACAATCGGTGTGTATGAGTGAGCATGAATGTGAACATGTGTGCACGAGTGTATATATGATCTGGGTGTGTAGGAGTGAGCATGAATGTGTATGCACAAGTGTGTGTATGTGTGTATGATCTGGGTGTGTAGGAGTGTGAATACGAACACGTATGCACAAGTATGTATATGATCTGTGTATGTATGAGTGAGTGTGAATGTGTGCATAAGTGTGTGTATGATCTGGGTATGAGTGATTGTGAATGTGAGCATGTGTGCACGAGTGTGTATATGATCTGGGTGTGTGGGAGTGAGCATGAATGTGTATGCACAAGTGTGTGTATGTGTGTATGATCTGGGTGTGTAGGAGTGTGAATATGAACACGTGTGCACAAATGTGTATATGATCCGAGTATGTAGGAGTGAGTGTGAATGTGAACATGTTTGCACGTGTGTATATGATATGGGTGCATGTGTGGGTGTGTTTGTGCAGGTGCACTGGGAGCTTTCAGCATTGAGTCTGTGTGGCATCCAGGCTTTTCTGGATGATGTAGAATCAAACCCCATAATTAATTCCAGTAACTTAGAAATTTTCACTTATGAATACTAAATTCTCCTCACCTAGCAACTGACTGAGCAGGTTGAACAGCACCCTTCGCCGTTCTCCTGCAGAACCCCGTGGAAGGGCCCTGCTTTCTCAGAGTGCTCCTAGCGGTGATGAGGGAGCCCAGCTCATTGCGGTTCGTGCAGAAGGCTGTGTGCCATCTCCGGGACTGCACGGAGAGGCGGAGGCTCAGGCGTGGGATCTGAGCTCAGTGGGCCCTTTAAGGACCGCTGCCTCCTTTCCTCCCTTTGGCATTCAGCATCGACTTACGATGGCTCCCAGTCACAGTCCTTGTCACTGCCTGGCATTACACAGGGCCACAGTCCCTTAACTGAAACACTTGGGACCAGTTGCATTTTGGAATTTGGAATGTTTCTTGATTTCAGAGAGAGAAGAGGGGATGGACTGTTGGGCAGCCCTGATTAACCCTGCAGCGTCTTGGCTCTAGAGGGGCCTACACGGCTGGGAGCGTCTCGGCTCTAGAGAGGGGCCTGCACTGCCGGGAGCATCTCAGCTCTAGAGAGGGGCCTGCACTGCTGGGAAGCCTACACGGCTGGGAGCGTCTCGGCTCTAGAGCCACAGCTGATGCATGGCAACGATGAGCTCTCCTGCTTAGTGCTGATGTGCCTCAGCCCCTAACCCCACTGGTGTCCAGATGAGGAACTTGAGGCTCAGAGAAGCTAGGTCAAGGTGAACACCAGTGTTGAGTTTCAGCCCCAGGTCTACCTGATGCTGCCTCCACATTGACTGAGTTGGCCTGGTCCATTGTGAGGTCAGGTAGAGCCAGGGCCGAGGTGGGGATGCCAAGGTCCCATGCCGCAAAGATGGGTGGGACGGCACAGGAGCCAGTCATCATCCCCAAAGACACAGCTCCGAATACCTCATCCTGAAATCCCAAAGATCAAAATCCCAAAAGTATAAATCTGGAAAAAATAATGTCGATGTTATTTATTTACATTTTTAAAAGGTATGTATTTGAGAAACATAAAAACACAACAGAACATTTCATAGGCCACTTTACACAATAAAATAGGCAATGATAACAGGTATTTTTGCATAAACACTGAGGTAACTAACGACGGCGGCATGGGTGTAGCAGTTATAAGAAGACAGACCATAAAGAAATAAGTCAAAAGAGAAACGTGTACACGTATATCGCTACGGTTACTAATTGTGTGCACCTAGCCCTGTAGCTGTGGTCATCTGAAATATCAGGGATTTTAGACTTGAGGGATTTTGATCTTTAGGGATTTCAACATTCCACATTATGGTGCTTGGGATTGTGTCTTTCAGGATTATGATCCAAACTCAGCTGGGCCTCCCCTCCCTGCCCCAGGATTGTGGAGTGAGAACGTTGCAGCAGGAGAGAACAACGCAGCAAAGCACAGCAGGGGAACCGGAAATGCTCACCTTTTGACAGGGTACTTTTAGTTCTGGGGCCTTATCTTAAGGATATTCCAACATATACAAAAAGATTCATGCACAGAGATATTTACTTTAGTATTATTTACCATAGGAAAAAAGTTGGAAACAATACATTTTATGTTCTGTAAAATGAAAGAACAGTTAAATAAATCATGGCTCTAAGACGACTCCAGGGCTGTGTACGGAAGTTCAGGGACAGAATCAGTTGAGGCTGTTCCACCTGAGCCTAAGGTTCCTCTGCTGTATGTCGGGAATCAGGTGGGGGCCAAGCGAGATCACCACAGTGCAGGCCAGTGTGCAGGGCACAGGTGGGCGCCAGGGAGGGGACGCCGCACAGCCCCATGCTCTCGCCAAAAACGTGCAGCACAATTTGGAAGAAAACGTTTCCATCTGTTAATAAAGAGCAACGGCCTCTGGTCATAAGTGACACATGACCCTTTGCCTGAGTCTTTTTAAATTTTTCCATATGTTCCATATTTTCTACACCAAATGTAAGCTACTTTCATAATCACAAAAACTTAATGGAAAGAGGAGGAGGAGGACGGGGGTGGGGAGTAGTAGCCATGGGTTCGAGCCCTTCCTCTCCGCATGACTTGGATAACACGGTATATTCACACAGCTATTTCCCCATCTATGAACTTCTGAGGTGCTTTTATTAGTTGATGTCTGGGACCCCTAGGAGCTCTCTTTATACCTCATGATATCAAATGCCCACCTTTCCAGCTCCTCTTGGCCTCCTGCCCTTCCTGGAGGGAGATGCGCTCCCTGGAGCTGCTGACTAGGTGGAAGCAGACTGGCTCCTTCAGTGGGTAGGCCAGCCTGCCTGTCTCCCTAGCCCAGTCCCACCGTGCTGGCCTCAGTGGTGGAGGCAGGCATGGAGCCTTGGAGGAACCACTCCTCCCCAGCCGCCACCAACATTTGTGGCACCGAGAAGCACCCGTGCTATTCCGGACAGGGATGGGGTTGGACACCCATGCATAGGGGACCCTACACTCCTAGGCTTGGCTCTGGGCTAAACAGCAGGTGTGGATTTGGGCCTAGGCCTCGGAGAAGCCATCAGCTAGGGCAGAATTCCCATGTGGGCAGGATGTTATTTAGGAATTCCAGGGCTTTCTGTATTCCAGATTTCCTGTATTGTGCATATGTGCGTGCATGTATGTGCCCTCAGCCATGATGTAAAGTGTTTTTCTGGCTGGGGTTGCATCACAGAGTTTGGAAGCCACTGCTCTGCAGATTCTGAGGACCACCTCCCTTATTTCTCACCAAATTCCCATTTCTTCTGTTTTTGTTCCACCCAATGCAAAAAGCATACTGCCTTCTCTTCTGCATTGGTGGGCAGCGGGTCCTGCAGCTCAGGTTTCTCCAGCCAGGGCCCTGAACGTGAGCCTGGTGGCGTGGGCAGGGGGCTGACTCCATGTGGGCCAAAGGCAACCTATCCAGCTCTTCAGAATGGCTTTTCTCTCCTCCCTATAAAACATATTTTCTCTCCTCCCTATAAAGCCTATTTTTGTATTAGGGTGTTTGTTAAAATGAAAACATGAGATCATTGATGCATAACGAGAAGCCGTGTCATTACTTCCCAGGCCCTGTGCAAGGTGCAAATTGGCGTGTTAGTGGCTGTTTGCATCTTTTCAGTTCCTTTCGTCTTTTCTCCTTATCCTGCCCTTTATATGGTTTCTGCTTTAAGTCAAACATTGTGAGTGGATTGATGGACATATGTGTGTGTGAGCGTGTGTGCACAGATGCATGAGAACTGCAGAGAGAGATGGGAGGTAACCAGGGGGATCACTGTTCTCTTCTTCCCAAACATTAGCGTTAGGCTGTTCCGCTTCTGTTCTTGAGAGGGCACCCACATTACTGCTTGGGAGCCTGGAAATGGCCCCACTGAAGCAGCTCTGAGGCCCTGGACACCCTTTTCCTGGTTGTGGCCAGCTGAGTTGTTCATGGTCCTCCCCGTGGGATGTGCTTGGAGCATCTGCTGGTAGCAGAGCCTCAGTTCCTCTCCTGCGTTCTTTCGCTACAGGTGTTAGACCTGCTGCCCACCTGTGACCTGTTTACTGCCAGGGATAGACCTGTGGCCAGTGTGGAAAGCGAGATGCTTTGTCCATACAGCCTGCGGGGCTCAGCCTTCCCGGGGTTGCCCACAGCTAGGCTGGGCCAGGACCCCCAAGCCTGGGAACTTACACCTTTCTCACCTGCTTTCCTAAAGGTGGTTTTCCTTTGTGATCTCTCTCCCTGAACGGCTAAACCACACTCTGAATAGAAAACTGTCTTGAAAACTGCTTTGCACGTACATCTGATAAGGTCCTCTGGAGGGCGACCTCCACTGTCTAGTGGGCGAGGATTGTTTAGCCGCCTTGGCTGAGTCACCGAGCTGCCAAGGGCAGACTGTACCCTGGGCTCACCAGCATGCAAAGATATTTTATTCATTTATTTATTCCATAAATATATATTTATATTATTTATATTTAGAGCCAGTGTATCTCTCTGTCGCTCAGGCTGGAGTGCAGTGGCACTATCTCACTGCAGCCTCAAGCTCCCGGGCTCAAGGAATCCTCCTACTTTGTCCTCCCAAACAAAAATATTTTTAAGGAGCCCACTAGGAGAGTGCTGAGTTTAAAATCTAAGTTCTTGTTTCTTTTTTCTTTTTCACTGATGCATAATAGATGTACATAGTTTCAGGGTACATGTGATAGTTTAATGCATTCATATAATTGTGAAAATCAAATCAGCCTACTTGGAATATCTATCGCCTTAAATATTTGTTTTTGCTTTATGCTAGAACCGTTCCGATTCTTCTCTTCTAGCCATTTTGAAATATACAGTAGGCAATTGCCAACTATGATCTATGTAACACTAGGTCTTATTCCTTCTATCAAACCACGTATTTGTACCCTTCAATCAACTTCTCTTTCTCCCCCTCTCCCCGCTACATTTCCCCACCTCTGGTAACCACGCGTCTACCCTCTGTCTTCACGAGAGCTACTTTTTTAGTAGGTGGGAGAGAACATTCAATGTTTGTCTTTCTGTGCTTGGCTTATTTCACTTAACATAATGATCCCTAGTTCCATCTTGTACAAATAACAGGCTGTCGTTCCTCTGTATGGCTGAATAATATTCCACTGTGTATACACACCACGTTCTGTTTATCCATCATCCGCTGATGAACTCAGAGGCTGATTCCGTATTTTGGCGATTGTGAGTAGTCCCGCAGTAAACATGAGAGTGCAGATGTCTTTACGATATATTGATTTTGTTTCTTTTGACTATAGGCCCAGTTAGTGAAATTACTGGATCATACAGCAGTTTTACTTTTAGATGGTTTTTTTTTTGTTTGTTTGTTTTTTGAGATGGAGTCTTGCTCTGTCACTAGGCTGGTGTGCAGTGGTGTGATCTTGGCTCACTGCAACCTCTGCCTCCCGGGTTCCTGTGTTTAAGCGATTCCCCTGCCTCAGCCTCCCGAGTAGCTGGGATTTATAGGTGCGCACCACCACGCCCAGCTAATTTTTTGTATTTTAGTAGAGACGGGATTTCACCATGTTGGCCAGGATGGTCTCGATCTCCTGACCTTGTGATCCGCCCGCCTCCACCTCCCAAAGTGCTGGGATTACAGGTGTGAGACACCGCGCCCGGCCAACTTTTATTTATTTATTTATTTTTTAAGGAGGAGTCTTGCTCTGTCACCCAGGCTGGAGTGCAATGGTGCGCTCTCCGCTCACCGCAATCTCCACCTCCTGTGTTCCAGTGATTCTCCTGCCTCAGTCTCCCAAGTAGCTGGGATTACAGGGTCGCACCACCACGCCTGGCTAATTTTTTATATTTTTAGTAGAGATGGGGTTTCATCATGTTGGCCAGGCTGGTCTCAAACTCCTGACCTTGTGATCCCCCTGCTTTGGCCTCCCAAAGTGCTGGGACCACAGGCGTGAGCCACCGTGCCCGGCCCCTTTTGGTTTTTTGAGGAGCCTCCATCTGTTTTCCATAGTGGTTGTACTAATCAACGTTCCCACAACAGTGTGTGAGGGTCCCCCTTTCTCCACATCCTCGCCAGCATCCCTTATTCCCTGCGTTTTTGACGAAAGCCATTTTAACTGAGGTGAGAGAAGACCTCATTGCAGTTTTTTATTTGCGTTTCTCTGATGATTAGTGATGTTGAGCATTTTTTCATGTACCTGCTGGCCATTTGTACATCTTCTTTTGAGAAATGTCTACTCAGGTCTCTTGCCCATTTTAAAATTCGATTAATTGTTTGCTATTGTTTGAGCTCCTGGTTATGAATCCCTTTTCAGGTGGGTAGCTTGCAAGTATTTTCTCCCATTCTGTGGGTTGTCTCTTCAGTTTGTTGACTTTTTCCTTTGGTCTGCAGAGGGTTCTTAGCTTGGTGTGATTTCACTTGTCTGTTTTTGCTTTGGTTGCCTGTGCTTTTGGGGCCCTACTGAAAAAGTCTTTGCTGAGAACAATGTCCTGGAGCACTTCCCTAATGTTTTCTTCCAGTAGTTTTATACTTTCAGGTCTCAGTTTTACCTTTAATCCATTCTGATTTGATTTCTGTGTATGGTAAGAGAGACGGGTCTAGTTTCATTCTTCTGCATATCTTTATCTAGTTTCCCCTGCACCACTTATGGAAGAGACCGTCCTTTCGCTCGTATGTTGTTGGTGCCTTTGCTGAAGATGAGCTGGCTGTAAATGTGTGGATTTATATCTGGGTTCTCTATTCTGTTCCACTGGTCTATGTGTCTGTTTTACGTGATTACCAGGCTGATTACCAGGCTGATAGGTTGGCTCATGCCTGTAATCCCAGTACCTTTGGAGGCCCAGGTGGGAGGATCACTTGAAGCCAGGACTTCAAAACCAGCCTGGGCAACAAAGCAGGACCCCATCTCTACAATGTTTTAAAAAATTATTTGGTGCAGTGGCATACACCTGTAGTCCCAACTACGCAGGAGGCTGAGGTGGGAGGATCCTTTGAGCCTAGGAGTTTGAGGCTGCTCTGAGCTGTGATTGTGCTACTGCACTCCAGCCTGGTTGACAGAGCAAGGCCCTGTCTCTTAAAAAAAAAAAAAAAAACTATTGCAAGAGGAGAGAGAGAGACTGAATTCAACTCTCAATACAACAGAGACAAGTGGGGATAGCCAATGAGCAGGGTGAGGGAGGTGATGAAAAGTTGTTGAAAGGAGCTTGGTTAGTTAGCAAGGGTGGGGAAGATTCTCACTAAGGACCTTAGCAGCATTCCTTGCTAGCACTGAGCTCAGCAGGCCAAGGATGAGGCTTCATCAAGGAGAAGGCTCAAAGGAGCCTGAGTGGAGTTTGGTCAAGGAGAGCGTCTTTGTCATCCTTGCAATGACTCATTTTATAGGTAATTAAGTAGGGGGTTCAGACAGGTCAAAGACTTACCAAAAAGAGGAAATTGTGTCCATGTGGCTGGTGGCTCACCCCAGGAACTGACAGTGGCTTACTCTCAGAAACTCAGAGTGTGCATGTCTCTTTGAATCCGTATCTGTGTGTGGGTGGGTGTGTCTGTCTGTGTGCGTGCCTCAGTCTCTTCTGAATTTCTCTCCCAATCCCCGTCTCTCTTTCCTCGGGTTGGTGTTTCCCTCCTGCTGGCCTCTGGCCAGCTATTTCTGGAAGTGTCAGCTGCTCTGTCTTCCTGCCCCTGTCTCCACCATCACGTCTGTGTCTGACTCCCTTTCTTTCCCATACAAAACCCCTAATGCAAGTCCTACTGTTTCTGTAACTGGCCACTGCCTATAACAAATCTTTGCTTAGGTTGTGTTTCTTTGTAGAATAGACTGATGTACTGTGTGCTTGATTTTTACAAGATGAGCACAATACCTTATCTTTCTTCTTTATTAAAAAAAAGGAAAAATCCAAACACAAGATTAATATCTCGTCATGGACTGTGCCCCGCTCGAGCCTCTCCACATGCAGCAGGAAGGAAAGTGGAGGGAGCTGCTCCTTTCCGTAGCCGGGGTGCCCACCCCAACCAGGCTGCCTCTGCCACCCAAGACAGAGGTTCTCTGATAATAATTTGTGGGGCTTGTTTCCAGAGACCACACCTGAAGCTGCCAACTCCCCGGAGGGAAGGTCCTGATTAATGGCCGATGAATTTCTCCTTAAGGCCCTGAAACTGCCTACTCAGAACCAAGCCAGTTTTTCCTGCCTGTCCTGTTTGGGCAGGCAGAGGAGGCAGCTAGAAACCCATTATGCAGGGGATGGGGGTAAGTGGAGGAGGGAGGGGTCGGGGGAGGAGTGGGGAGGAGGAGGAGGGAAACAGGAAACCCCAGGCTTTGGCTATGATGGGGTCAGCCTTTCTACACCATTCCGGGATGCTGGTGTCCACCACTGCTGCCTGGGCACGGGGAACAGAGAATCTGCCTGGTGGGAGCAGACAAGAGGTTCGAGGACCAGAGCTCATCCTCTTCGGTGTGTGCCTGGGAGGAGGTGTAGGTGCAGCCAGTGGGGTATGATTAAAAAGAAGGGACGCGAGTTTAGGGGACAGCCGCCCACGTGCACCAGCTCTCCGTGTGCCAAAATCTTGCCTGTCAGGGACCAGGATCCCACTTCACAGTTAGCAAATAGCAGCTCAGGGACATTAAGCAACTCGCCCAGCATCCCACCAGCAGACAGTCTCGCCTTCAGGGTCGTCTGTGTCTGTTAAAGTCGAGTCTAGTTTCGGGTCTCAGAGCACCTCCCTAAAGCTGCCGTAAACCAAGAATAAAATTCTAAGCCCCACAGCCGATCGCGTGGACCCCGCCTCTGGGCCAAAGGGATTCCAGAGAAACCTGAAGAACTAGTTCAGGCCGTGATGAGGAGGAGTGGGGGCTGGACAGGCCTCATTGTACCCTCCTCCCTTTGGAATTTGGGCAGAACTGACCAGAACCAACATTAAAACAGAGATCTGAAGACTGACAAGGCTCTCTAGCAATAAGATACCAAATTCCAACCTGATTCCAGTGCAGCATCACATGACAGACAGAGGCCATGAAATCAATATTTTACCTCAAAATATATTTCTTTGACATACTTTGAAATGGCCCTGCCAAGCTGTCTCTTGTGGGGGACATTTACATTCTGTAGAGAATCCCTTCCCTTTCCAGGTCTTTCTCTGATCCTGAAGACATTGGCTGAGAGCCTAGCACCTTCTATGGGTCTGAACAGGAAACATTTGCCATCTATTGTCTCTAAGGGTGGCCACCTATGAAACTTCATCTACATAATAAGAACCTTGGTCTGCACAGTCTCTTATCTTAACCCAGACTCTCCTTTCTATTGATAGCAGGTCTGTAGATAATAATTCTTTCAACCAATTGAGAATCAGAAAATCTTTGAATCTATCTATGACCTGTAAACCCCATTACTTTGAATTTTCCTCCTTCCAGACCAAACCAATGCACAACTCCTACGTACTGATGGTGGTCTTACGTTTCCCTAAGTTTCTGCCGACTAAACTGTGCACACGTTCTCAGGACCTCCTGAAGCTGCGTCACAGGCGCTGATCAAAGAACACAACCAAGGTGAGTGTCAATCATTTCAAGAAATCTGTTTGCAAGGTTAAGGACACACCTGAGAAAAGAACAGAGAACCACAGGAAAAACTGTGGTCCGTGCTTTTCCCAAAGATTGTCTGGGGACCTCAGTAAGTAAAGGGGAGAAGTGTGGGTGTTGGGGAAAGGGGAAGAAGTGGAAAAAATGGGTGTGGGTAAATCAGAGGCAAATGGTTGCATTCTTCTGTCTTTGGTCAGCGTTCACTGAATACACATTTTACATGTGATGGAGGTAGAGGCAGGGATGTAGCTTTTTTATCTTTGTGTAATAGCTATCTTATTTAGGAACCAGATGGGAAGCAGGTTTGCATAAGCCAGTTCCCAGCTTGGCTTTTCCCTTTGGCTTAGTGAGTCTGGGGTCCCAGGATTTATTTTCCGTTCTCACAGGTTGTGGTCCTCACATTTGGCTCAAAATATTCAAAATTTTTTCCAGAGTTTGGCCTTTTCTTCAGCACTGGGAATTGTGATCCAAAGCTTTTCCTGATGAGGCACAAAGTTGGAGAAACAAAACGCAAACTAAGCAACAATGAAACAGAACAGAGTGAATCTGCTGTAGCTCAAGAGAGGACGTAGCTGCCCCCACCCCGCATCCCTGGGCTCGGGTTTGCCTTGCTGACCTCTGCTGCCACCTGGTGCCGCACAGAGAAACTGAGGAGAAACCACATCAGTCTCCTTCAGCCTCAGCTTCACATCTGTGGGTCAAGCAACCCTTTCAGAAGCTGTATAATGTGGGAAAGCTTTCCTCTCAGGAAAATGCACACATCCAACTTTGAGAAGATGCCCTTGGGGGTGCTTCAAGGATCCTAGATAATAACCCCCTTTCCCGAACATCCAAGAACCTAAGTTTTTTTTTTTTTTTTGAGAAAGTCTCGCTCTCTCTCCCATTCTGGAGTGCAGTGGCGTGATCTTGGCTCACTGCAAGCTCCACCTCCCAGGTTCAAGCCATTCTCCTGCCTCAGCCTCCCAAGTAGCTGGGGCTACAGGCACCTGCCACCACACCCGGCTAATTTTTTTGTATTTTTAGTAGAGACGGGGTTTCACCGTGTTAGCCAGAATCGTCTTGATCTCCTGACCTTGTGATCCACCCGCCTCGGCCTCCCAAAGTGCTGGGATTACAGGTGTGAGCCACCACACCTGGTCCAAGAACCCAACTTTTAGATCTAGAGTGATGTCAGCATGACATTGATTTCCTGAGGCCCAGGGGTGAAGGAGCTGAGGACAGCAGAGGGGTGAAGGAAGTCAGCTACAGACAGCAGCAGCTGATGCACAGGCCTCCCAGCGCCTGAAGTCACCCGGAATTGGGAAGTGCTCAGAAGCTTACAAAGCTGCCTCGAGGTGGGAACACAACATTAATCCAAGAGTAGATCCCTGATCCTATAAAAATGTACTAGATGCAGTGGGGGCATTTTAAATGAGCAGGGCAGGACAGACAGATAAACAGAAGGACAAACAGTATTGGGATTGGGATAAATGCTCAGCTTTTGCCCAAATCTTAGTGACTTAAGCATCACTTATTTGCTCACGATTCTGTGGCTGGACCATTTGGTTTGGCTCACAGGGCAGGGACTGTGCTGGTCTTACCTGAGCAGACCTGCATGTCTGCGGTCAACTGGGTTGGCAGAGACAGAGTGACTGTCTTCCTCCAGGAAGCAGCAGGTTAACTGGTTGGCAGAGACAGAGGGACTGAGGGACTGTCTCCCTCCAGGAAGCAGCAGGTTAACTGGTTGGCAGAGACAGAGGGACAGAGGGACTGTCTTCCTCCAGGAAGCAGCAGGTTGGCTCTGGTTCCTTCGTGGGGCAGCTGGTCTCCAGGGCAGCAAGAGAGACCAAGCCCCCGTGCACATTCTACAGCCTCTGTGCACATCAGACTTGTTAATATCCCATTGGCCAGTGCAAGTCACACGGCCAAGCCCAGATTAAGGAGTGGAAAGATGGACGCTATCTCCTCCTGGGAGAGGAGGCAAAGGAGGTGAGAGCATTATGTGGCCACTTATGTTTGCAATCTACCATACTTAGCCCTTTGAGAAAAGAATTAACTGAGAAACTTGCTTCAAATAGGGCATTCAGTAAAATGAAGCCCCAATTGAAGTAAAATGCATATATAAAAAATGAAACTGTGACCGATTTTAAGGACAGTATTGGCAAATATTTCTGTGCTCTTGGAGGAGAAGACCCTTATTGGCATGACGTGTCAGAAACCACAATGAAAGAATTATTTTAACTTGCATTCATAAAAATTAAAATTATTCATTAAAAACATCGTGAATGAAATTAAAAGTCAAAATGTAAGCCAGAAAATTATTTACAACATATGTGTCAGGAAAAGACAATACCCTTCAGACTTTGAGAGTTTACATCAGAAAGAAAATAGCAAATGACATGATCCAAACTTGATAAAGGACATGAAAAAGAGCCAGCACTTAGTATGTTTTCTGAATGAATAAGTAGCCAACAGCACATGAAAATGTGTGTAATCCACTTGTAAGCAGAGAAATGCAAATTAAAACAGTAAAGTGTCATTTTCACTTCCTGGATTGGCAAAGGGTTTTATGTATTTTACTGACAGTGCTCAACATTAGCAGTAAACAACAAATGGTGAGTAAATACGAGCTTCGGAACCTCAGGGAAATGATCTCCTTATTTCAACCTGTAGATTCCTTCCTACAACCAGTGTAGAGCAGAGTACCAGGACGGGCCATTGAGCACCCTGGTGTTGAGAGCAAGTGGCCTCTAGTCAGAGTTGGGTCAGGGTCACTGTGAGTGGGCTGCCCCCAACATGAGTCAGCTGTCTAGGACTAGTTTATCTCTGCTTCTCACTTTACTGGTATTATGGGGCAGCTCCTGCTGTCTTCCAATTTGGTGTCTTCCAAATCGGCACCGTCTTTTAAAGTTGAGTTTCTTGTTATTCTCACCTGATATACCTTATTTATCCCACACCCACCCCAATAACATATCGTGCTCAGTGTTATCTTTGAGACAACACTTGAATTTTACTCAGCCTGGCGTGCTCTTCACATGTCTTGTCTAGATCCAGTTCGGACTCATTCTTCAGCCGTGCATCAGTAAATGGGGGCTAGGTTAAACTGTGGTGACAAACAACCTCCAAATTTCAGTGGCTCAAAAATCTTCTTCCTCATTTATTTACATTTCATCATGGGTCAGGTGAGAGGTAGCTCTGTGCTGTGTCATCCTAACACAGGAATCCAGACGGAAGGAGGGACAATCAGTAAGATCCCCATTGCTATAGAAAAGAGAAAAAAGTATGCGGAATAGAACTCTGTTTCTTGGAGATTTCTCCTGAAAAAGTCACATGTTATTTCTTCTCACCTCCATTGGCAAAAAAAAAGTCACGTGGCCATGTGAAAATGTAAGTAGGCGGGATGGAACAGTCAGAATGCATTCATAAAATATGAACTGAAAATATCTGGAGAACAGCACCTATGACTACCACGAATGCCAACATGCATCCCTAACAACCCAGTGCTGTCACCCTCCAAACTTTTTATGTCTTGCAAAGTATTAGAACTTCTTATCTGAAGCCATACCACTCAGAGGGAATGCAAAATACATATTGACATCTCCTTTAGGATGTCCTTAGAGAATTCAAGGAAAAGAAGTTAAATAATTTAAAAGTGCTTTTGGGTACAGCTATTTAGCACTAGAGGGTAAGATTAGACATAGATTGTAAAGATAATAATAGGGTTAGGGATAGGATTAGGATCTGGGTCAGAGTCAGGGCCAGAAGTATGGTTAGAGGTGGGGTCATGGTCAGGGTCGAGATCAAAGTCAGGGTCAGAATTAGGGACCAGGATAGGGATCAGGATTTAGGTTCAGTGTCAAAGTCTTGGGACAGGGTTAGGGTTAGGATTAGAACCAGAGCTTTGTTCTCCTCAGGACCCACCCGAGGACGGGTCACCATGGCTTTGGAGCACCTGGTAGTGTGGCATGTCCACAGTGAAGACCAGAGTTTCATTGTCCTTAAGACTGACCTGGGGAGACGTGGCTGCAGGCCATTGAGGAAGGTGAGGAAAAACTTCCTGTCTGCTCCCCGTGTGCTGAGGAGGGAGCTCTGCCGTGGGCTTTACTTTCACATGTTATATTCCACAAGTCTTGTTTTACAAAAGCATCCCTTCCTTGAGGCTTCGGCTGCTCATCGCTGCTCATCATCATAGCGTGCCATAACATATAGTAAGATTTGGGTTTGTTTCTGGGGAGAGATCTTGGTATAGAGAAAGGAGAAATGCTTAGAGCCACCATCAGGACAGTTGGGATGAAAGTTGGGTATAGGCAGAGGCTGGAGGAAACATGTGCATCCCCTGTAAACACTTTTATTCATGTTTTAATTACTCATTTTTCTTACAGTGTTAAATTAGTAAAGATAGTATTGAAAAATTGAAAAGTAGGCATATTAAAACCTGCAACACTATTTAAGCTTAGATATATTATTTGTACCTCATCAACATTTTTTATTTTGTTGAGAAAGTTTAAGGTTAATTGACAGCATATTTCTAATAGTAGATAGAATAACATCCCTTTTATAAACATTGACATCCTACATTACATGTGTGAACCCTGAAAATCTGAGACAGCTCTCAGATTTTTTAGAAAGTTTATTTTGCCAATCTTGAGGATGTGCACCTGTGATGCCTCCTCAGGAGATCCTGACAACATGGGCCCAAGGTGGTCGGGGCACAGCTTGGTTTTATACACTTTAGGGAGACACGAGAGATCAATCAATATGTGTAAGATGTACATTGGTTCAGTCCAGAAAGGTGAGAAGGCCAGACAGGGGGCTTCCAGGTCACAGGTAGGTAAGAGACAAATGGTTTCATTCTTTTGCATTGCTGATTACCCTCTCCACGTGAGGCAATCAGGTATGCATTTATCTCGGTGATCAGATGGGTGTCTTTGGATAGAATGGGAGGCGGGTTTGCCCTAGGCAGTTCCCAGCTTGACTTTTCCCTTTAGCTTAGTGATTTTGAGTCCCCAAGATTTATTTTCCCTTCGTAAGTGTTCCTATGAGTATTAATTATTCATTGTGTCTTTTATTACACAAATAAGGCACAGATTTTTAAGAAATCATCAACTTCATGGCTACCTATATAGACATAATTACATAGAAGCTCAACTAAATTTGCAAACATTCCAGAGTTTGGGTTTCCAATAATTCTTTGTGATTCTTTAAAAGGTAAAGTATTTTTTCCCATAAAACATAGCAACATTTAAAATCAACCGTAGAATGTCCTGCCATTTTTGTTTCTCTAGTTTCCTCATTTTCTGCAAAGCCTCACTGAGGAAATTGACTTTGAATATCCTTTTAGACTCTTGTTTTAGAAAGCATTGTGGTAAAACATTGAATCATCGTGGTCACAAGTTCTGTTCACATTCTTTCTTTCTTTGAATATTTTTTCCCAGTGGCCAATATTTGATTCTGTTGTATCATGGCTAAAAGGTAGGCATGGCAACAAAATAAAGACAAGAAGTCTTTGGAATAATTGATCCCATCACAATGAATCAATTTGCCATTGGAACATGTTTTTACAAAGTCACTCTTTTGAAAATATTCAGCTATGACTTGAAACAGAGTCTGTATGGTTAATATTTTTCCTGGTCTAAGATGAACAGCATTTTAGAGAATGAACCCAGGACACAACCACAGCACAAGAAAAACATGTGATAATTAAGTTTACACATGTGTGTTACTACAGTAACAGAAAACATGTAAAGAACATTTGATTTATGTATCAGTCTGCACTGTTTAATTTTTTGTGTCATAATTGCTCTTATTTTAAAAAACAGGACTAGTTAACAGTGTCAATTACTAGTAATTCATGGTATAAATAATTAAACAAGGAAGTGTTAAAAAAAGTGTTTTAAATAAAGTTTTATTTTACGTCTTTTTTTTACTTACACAGAAATCGTCAAAAAAAAAAAGAGATTTCCCATGTAGCCGCAACCTAGTTTCCTCTCTTATTAACATCTTCTATCAGTGTGTCTCACATGGCTTATTAATATCTTACATAATTTGCCGCAGTTAATGAACCAATACTGATAGACTGTTATTAACTAAAGTTCATATTTCATTTGGATTCCCTTAGTTCTATCTTACTCTGACCCAGGATCCCATCCAGGATCCCACACGACATGTAGTCATCACATAGGCTCTTCCTGGCTGTGACAGTGTGTTAGGCTTTCCATCTCATGATGACCTTCATAGCACTGAGGAGGATTGGTCAGGATTTTTGTAGAATGTCCCCCATTGTCACTTCATGTTCTCAAGGTGAACTGTCAGCTTTGGTGTTCACTTGGATCATTTGGCAGAGCTACTGTTTGTCAGATTTCTCCACTGTGAAGTTATTTTTCCTCCTTGTCCATACTGCATGTGTTCTTTTGGAGCAAGTCACTATGCAGAGCCCACACTTACGGAGTGAGGAGTTGGCTCCACCTTCTTGATGGCTGAGTGTCTACATCAGTTATTTGGAATTCTTTTGCAAAGGAGATTTCTATGCAACTCCATTTGCTTATTCACCTAGGTATACAAATACAGACACCTAGATAATTACTTTAAGCTTTAGTTATTATTCGACACTATAGCATTATGTTGCACAATTCCTTCCTGTGTTGGCCATCGGTAGCTGTTTTTATTGGCTTTTATTTTTGTTTGATATATTTTAATTTTTTTAGTACTTACTTTCTGATACTTCCAGATTATCCTGGCTCCTATATTTACTGTCCCAGTTCTAGTATCAGACATTTCTTCAAAGAGCCTGATTCCTTTCAGAATGGTGGGAAAACTTACATGTGGCTGCTGAATGCACATTGTATCTTGTCCCTCATTAGCAATGCTAGGAAGCATATGTGCGTGTCTAACCTACCTACACACACCTAATTATAAAGTTTTCTATGTAGAACTGTGTGTATCTATATTAAACTAAGCATAAGTTTACGTTGATGTCTCCACCTCTGATCTACTATCACAGGAATCATTCTAGCCTTCTCGTCTTGCTAATTTGTAACCTCCCACTTCAACAGTGAGAAAGCTGGTTCCCACCATCTGCGACTTATGTAAGTCATTGTTTTACTCCAGATACAGACACTGTGGTTTTACAATTGTTCACAATTGCTTCTGTTGGAAAGAACTTTATAAAATGGAATCCAATAATGAAGTATAGTTCACGTGCCTTCAGCCTACAGATTCTATTCATTTTCAAAGTTTTTACCTAGATTTGTGTCTTAGTCCATTTTGTGCTTCTGTAACAGAATACCTGAGGCTGCGTAATTTATAAGTAAAACAGTTTCATTTGGTTCACAATACTGGTAGCTGGAATGTCCGAGATTGGGCAGTTGCATCTGGCGGGGCCTCAGTCTTTTTCACCTCATGGTGGAAAGTGGAAGGGGAGCAAGGGGTGCACCAGAGATCACATAGCAGAAGTGAAAGCAAGAGGGAAGCCAAGGAAGCCAGACTCTTTTTAATTACCTACTCCTGCAGGAATTATCTATTCCTGTGAGAACAGAACTCACTCACCCCCATGGAGGACATTAATCTATTCATGAGGGATCCGTCCCCACGACCCAAACACCGTCCACTAGGCCCCACCGCCCCACACTGACACAGTGGGAGTCAAATTTCAACATGAGTTTTTGTGGGGACAAACCACATCCAAACCATCGTAATTTATAGCATAAATTCTTTTTCACATGATGTATTCTGTCCTGGGATACTCCACATCCTGAGTAATTTGATTTAATTTGAATAGAGTTTGCTTTAACCATTTGGCTGTAAAATTCTGCATATTTCGACAAATGCATTGTGGCAGATATCCCACTATTAAAGTATCATATGGAATGCCTCAAACCCCCACCCCATGGAGCCAATGGCTTCCCATCTGTGTAGTTTGCCTTCCCCAGTGTCTCATTAAATGAGGTCACACTGTGTGTATCCTCCTCAGACTGTCTTCTTCCACTTAGCAATGTGCATGCAAGATTCACTCATGTCTTTGTGTGTGTTGATATCTTGTTCCTTTCTATGGCTAAATAGTATTCCATTACATGAATGTAGCACAATTTGGTTATGCATTTTGGGGAGTAGAACCTTCCTCTTCTAACTTTGTTCCAGGGTTGGAGACCTTCAAATTAACTGACAATAGATACATTAGTAGGAGAGACAATACTTGGCTTCTTGTTCCCCAAGTATCATTGTGGGACAAAATTCATCAGATGGCAGGATCCAGTTTACAAAGAGGTAAAAATAGCCCAGAAACAAGAAACAAGACTAGAATCTGATAACTCTCAATGGCTATAGTTTTCCTTTAAAAAAATTTTTTTTGAGACAGGGTCTGGCTCTGTCGCCCAGGCTGGAGTGCAAAGGTGCAATCTCAGCTCACTGCAACCTCTACCTCCTGGGTGCAAACGATCCTCCCTCCTCAGCCTCCTGATTACCTGGGACTACAGGCACATGCCGTCATGCCCATCTAATTTTTGTATTTTTGGTAGAGACGGGGTTTCTACCAAAATATTCGATTTTTTCTGTGGCAGACAACATTTATTTATTTATTTATTTAGAGACAGAGTCTTGCTCTGTCGCCCAGGCTGGAGTGCAGCGGTGCGATCTCGGCTCACTGCAAGCTCTGTCTCCTGGGTTCACGCCATTCTCCTGCCTCAGCCTCCCGAGTAGCTGGGACTACAGGTGCCTGCCATCACGCCCGGCTAATTTTTTATATTTTTAATAGAGATGGAGATTCACCGAGTTAGCCAGGATGGTCTGGATCTCCTGACCTTGTGATCCACCTGCCTCAGCCTCCTAAAGTGCTGGGATTATAGGCATGAGCCACTGTGCCTGGCACAACATTTAAAGTAATAATTGGAATTATGACTCATTACTCTATAGTGGCACATAGCATGGATAAGGAGGACATTGACAAACTTCCAGGAATTTTATATAATTTCTGAAAACATAACATTTTACCCATACAAATATAACACAGGGAAGGTTAGGTATCTCTTTTTATTTGTATCTTCTGTATGGTTTTCCTTATAAAAAATGCAACCTACTTTACTTGCGAAACATGCCCTACTTTTCTTGCATGCTTTGCATAGAGTTGTTTCTAGTTATTCTATTATTTCTAGTAGTTTTATTTACATATATTGATTATAATTTTAATACTTAGTAATCTTTTATTTTCCAGAGAAAACTAGGAAGTAGACAGTTATAAACTGTCATATATTAGCATTCTATAGTAGGTTAGAAAATGTATGAATATACCATCTCCCAACATCTAGAGGGATGTGTTTCCTCATAATACAATTCCTCAGTGTGGCAGAAAAAAACATGTTTATTAACGGGCCAAAATATCTTTAGTCTCTCTGTAAAAACAGGAAGCCAAAAGTATATAAACTTGAATTATTTATGTTCAGTAATTAATGTTTTAGTATTGTATCTTATTTATAAATGGTCTAGATATTTAATGCAAATCTTTTACTTAGCTTAACTTTAAGGTTAAAAATTACCAAAAGTACTTTGGAAACTATTCTTAGGCAGATTTACTGTAGACAAATTATTTTTGAAATAATGTTTTTCGCTTTTCACAAGACGGCACCGAAAGCGAAGGAAGCTCCTGCTCCTCCTAAAGCCGAAGCCAAAGTGAAGGTTTTAAAGGCCAAGAAGGCAGTGTTGAAAGGTGTCCGCAGCCACACGCAAAAAAGAAGATCCGCATGTCACCCACCTTCAGGCGGCCCAAGACACTGCGACTCCGGAGGCAGCCCAGATATCCTCGGAAGAGCACCCCCAGGAGAAACAAGCTTGGCCACTATGCTATCATCAAGTTTCCGCTGACCACTGAGTCGGCCGGAAGAAGATAGAAGAAAACAACACGCTTGTGTTCACTGTGGATGTTAAAGCCAACAAGCACCAGATCAGACAGGCTGTGAAGAAGCTCTATGACAGTGATGTGGCCAAGGTCACCACCCTGATTTGTCCTGATAAAGAGAACAAGGCATATGTTCGACTTGCTCCTGATTATGATGCTTTCGATGTTGTAACAAAATTGGGATCATCTAAACTGAGTCCAGCTGGCTAACTCTAAATATATGTGTATTTTTTCAGCATAAAAAAATAATGTTTTTCATAAGAATGACAACTTAATTAGAATCAAATCTATAAGCTTTAAGATTTTACATTTCTAGTAAGTATAATATTAGCTTATTTGACTAGAACTCAAGCAGAATAGGAATTTATGCTTGTTTTATATTCAATAATGATAATTTTGAAGATATAGTTGTTTTATTACACCAAAAATACTATATTAATCTTATTTAACTAAGTTTTATCCAAATCATGTTAACTTAAGAAACATTTGATCAGTTCCTATATTTCTAGGAGTTTGGTGAATATTTATTTATAAATGCTTATTTTTTTCCAAGCCAAGTTAGAATAGAGCACTTTTAGAGGATTTCATAAATGAATTTTGCAATGCTCTCTGGAGTTAAGAAAATATCACATATACATAACATACATTAATAGATATACAAACACAAATAGAGATTTCATAGCTTTCATCCTGAAATTTCAGCCTTGAATCAGGCATAAATATTCTGATGGTTAATTTCAGACATCTACTTGATCCGACTGAGAGACACACATAGCTGGTCAAACACGATTTCAGCCATGAATCAGGCATAAATATTCTGACGGTTAATTGTAGACATCTACTTGACTGGATTAAGAGACACACATAGCTGGTCAAACAAGATTTCAGCCATGAATCAGGCATAAATATTCTGATGGTTAATTGTAGACATCTACTTGACTGGATTAAGAGACACACATAGCTGGTCTAACACGATTTCAGCCATGAATCAGGCATAAATATTCTGATGGTTAACTTTAGACATCTACTTGATTGGATTGAGAGACACACATAGCTGGTCAAACACGATTTCAGCCATGAATCAGGCATAAATATTCTGATGGTTAATTGTAGACATCTACTTGACTGGATTGAGAGACACACATAGCTGGTCAAACACGATTTCAGCCATGAATCAGGCATAAATATTCTGATGGTTAATTTTAGACATCTACTTGACTGGATTAAGGGACACACACAGCTGGTCAAACACAATTTCAGCCATGAATCAGGCATAAATATTCTGACAGTTAATTTTAGACATCTACTTGACTGGATTAAGAGACACACATAGCTGGTCAAACACGATTTCAGCCGTGAAGCAGGCATAAATATTCTGATGGTTAATTGTAGACATCTACTTGACTGGATTGAGAGACACACATAGCTGGTCAAACACGATTTCAGCCATGAATCAGGCGTAAATATTCTGATGGTTAATTGTAGACATCTACTTGAGTGGATTGAGAGACACACATAGCTGGTCAAACACAATTTCAGCCATGAATCAGGCATAAATATTCTGATGGTTAATTTTAGACATCTACTTGACTGGATTAAGAGACACACATAGCTGGTCAAACACGATTTCAGCCATGAAGCAGGCATAAATATTCTGATGGTTAATTGTAGACATCTACTTGACTGGATTAAGAGACACACATAGCTGGTCAAACACGATTTCAGCCATGAATCAGGCATAAATATTCTGATGGTTAACTTTAGGCATCTACTTGATTGGATTGAGAGACACACATAGCTGATCAAACACAATTTCAGCCATGAATCAGGCATAAATATTCTGACAGTTAATTTTAGACATCTACTTGAGTGGATTAAGAGACACACATAGCTGGTCAAACACGATTTCTGGGCATATCTATGAGGGTGTTTCTGGAAGACACTGAGATAACCATGACCCAATGTGGATGGGCACTGATATGGTTTGGCTGTGTCCCCACCCAGATCTCATCTTGAATTGTAGTTCCTGTAATACCTACATGTCGTGGGAGGGACCCAGTGGGAGGTGACTGAATCATGGTGGTGGTTACCGCCATGCTGTTCTCATGACAGTGAGTGAGTTCTCATGATCTGATGGTTTTATAAGGGGCTTTTCCCCTTTGGCTCAGCACTTCTTGTTGCTGCCATGTGAAGAGGGATAGCTTTGCTTCCCCTTCTGCCATGATTGTGAGGCCCCTGCAGCCATGTGGAACTGTCAGCCCATTAAACCCCTTTGTTCTTTATAAATTGCTCAGACTCAGGTATTTCTTCATAGCTGTATAAAAATGGATGAATACAGGCACCATCCAATTGGTTGAGAGCCCAGATAGAATAACAAGGAAGAGGAAAGGTGAATTATCTCCTTCTGAAATGGAAACATCCTTCTTCTCCTGCCCTTGACATCAGAACTTCAGGGTCTCAGACCTTTGGCCTCACAATCAGAGTTACACCATTGGCTTCCCTGATTCTGAGTCCTTTGTATCTGGAGTGAGCCATGCTACCAGCTTTCCTGGTTCTCCAACTTGGAGACAGGCTATTGTGGAACTTCTCAGCCTCCATAATTATGTGAACCAGTTCCCCTAATGAATCTTCTCTCATCTATCTACATATATCCTATTGATTCTGCCTTTCTGGAGACCCCTGCCTAATGTGATTACAATAACTACAAAATTCACTACTTTATATAGAAGACTTGGTTTTTGTCTTTGCCCCATTTTATATTTGTATTATAACTATGTATCTGGAAAATGGAACAAGTTTTTTCTTCTTCATATGAGGGCTAAGGCTTTTTTCTCACCAATATTTTTGGAGATTTTAAAGATTTTCTTTTTTTTTGACATAGAATCTTATGGAGGCTGAGAAATAATTTTTTTTCTATTTTATTCTTCAGCCCCAGGTGTTTGCTTTTGCAGATTCTTGAGCACATTGAGAGCTTCCAAGGCATGGAGTGGGGTGCCTGAAGTTTCAGTGATTATAGGGAGTTGAGAGACTCAACTGGGAAAGGAAAGGTCTAAAAGGAGGCAATTTGGAAAATAAAAATTTTCTCAAAGGAGCCATTAAAGTTGTAAATAATTCTTAGTAAAGTCATGCAAACAGGAAAAGAAGTAGAATTAGTTCCATATTGGTGGAACACATAGTCAGCAGAGGTTGGAGAAGGGAGAATTTAGTGAACTGAGAAGTTCCCATGAAAGCAGCAAGATCAAGATCACAGAGACACCTTGAAACAAAAAGCCAGGAATAACTTCCAACCCAAGAGGAGAACAGAGAGGCCTCAAAACCAAAGCTAGGATAAGAAACTTGTAGCCCAAGAGTTATCTTCCAGACAAAGAAGCCTGAGATTCCAACGCAGCTTCAGAGAGTACTCACTCAAAATGTTACTGAAACTGTAGGCTTTTTAATGACTTAGCCATGCCTGCAAAAGGCATTCCCTAAGGTGGCACAGAAGACGGAGCCCCCATATCCAAAGATAGCCAAGGAGAAAGAAAGACCCCTGTTGCCAGAGCCAGTGGGCAAAGGCAACAGAAAAGGAGACAAGGGTCCTAATGGGGTGAGATCCTTTCGGATTTAGGCTTTTACAAACTCCTGAGAACTGGCAGGTTGACAGCCATAAATGGGGTACCAAACTTTCTACTCATTGGATTACAAGTTCTCAGGCATCCAGAATGATTAACAAAATGACAATTTCTAGGGCTTCTGTGGGAGAGTATGGAAAGGTCTTTTTGAACCTTTTAATGCTGTCAACGGAAGAATGATGAGGTTCATAAATTTGGAAAGGAGACATTTCTTCATTTTTATGCTTATTTTTATTTTTTTTTGAGACAGAGTTTCACTCTTGTTGCCCAGGCTGGAGTGCAATGGTATGATCTTGGTTCACTGCAACCTCCACCTCCTGGGTTGAAGCGATTCTCCTGCCTCAGCCTCCTGATTAGCTGGGATTACAGATGCCCACCACCACACCTGGCTAATTTTTTGCAGTTTTGGTAGAGACAGGGTTTCATCATGTTGGCCAGGCTGGTCTGAAACTCCTGACCTCAGGTGATCCACCCACCTCGGCCTCCCAAAGTGCTGGGATTACAAGCATGAGCCACCCACCCAGTGAGAGATTTATTTTCTATAAAGGGTTGTAGCCTGCAGGGTTGTCCTTCTGACAGGCTGGGAAGCATAGCCTCCAGCCAGAAGCCAGAAACAGATGTTTCAAGGAGGAGGTAAAGGAAATAGCAATTTATGCTGAGTGGAATGGCCAAATAGATTTATTTAATAAGCTCTAGGAGGAGTCATGAATATTTATGGAAGGAGAAATGCATGCACGCACAATTGAGTTTCTTGCTTCTTCATGGGTCCCATGTACAAAAAATGGCAGTGTTAGCATGATCCCAGGGTGGAGTTTTCAGCCCTCTGACATTAAAAGGTGAAGCAGAGGAAATGAAAACTCGCTCTGTGCATCCTCTGTACGCTGGCCAGAACCTCTCCATCGTGGGTGGTCTCTTATCAGGCAAGAAAGGAGAGGTTGATATCAGTGGTGGAGGCTTTGAAAGGGCTGGTTTCTGTTAAATCCTTAGGGAAGAAAGCCTCATCATGGTTAGCAAAGGAGGGGGTATAACGATGTGTATCTTAACCCCATCATCCCATCCTAGCAAAGCTGAGAACTCAGTTTTGAAAGTTACTCTGGGGTCCCCTCAGCCAAGAGTGGGTCTGTTCAGTCAGTTGGGAGCTTAGAATTTAATTTTCATTTATCAATGCTAATGCGAAAGAGTACGCTGTCTTCATGGCAGCTGAATTTGCAAGAAACTCCTTGGATGGGGTTAATGGCAGCTGTATTTTACTGGGAGCTCTGCTTTAATTGGATAAAGTAAGTTCTGGTAAGATTTCTTCTTCTTCAGTATCTCAAATGTTTTCATTTAAATAATCTTTATAACAACTTTTGATGTCTGAGTGGAGTCCCACACAGTCATCTATTGTAAGACTTTCTGATTCCTTTTTTTTCCTTTGGTCATTATGAATAGGGCTTCTGTAAATAACTGCATGGTAGCTTTTGATGGGAAATAACATCAAAGTAGTTGTCAAAATACTTAGGAATGTTATTTTTGGATTGTAAGGTGAGACTTGTTTAGCTTTGGAAAAAAATGCCCAACTTGTAATAGGGGAGGAAAAATAATTTTCTGTTTTTGGAATTCTTAGATGGAACGCTCTGTAAAAAGTGACAGATTAAAATGAGAAAAACAGAAAAGTTTAAAAACATGTATATCTTATGGTTACATGGGATATACTCAGGGAAAAATGAGTAAATCTCCAACAGGTGGCTTTCAATTCAAGCATAAATACTATCTTCAACTTAAAGAAAGAAGATTTGAGGTGCAGTAGTGGGAAGTTAACCAGCAAAAGCACATTAGACAGAGGTAAGGTTCATTATACAGAGTTAAGTCCATGCATTCTCCATTGATAAGACTCTTCAGTGATTTAGTTATCCTTCTCTTCTTGGTGTCGAGAGAGGTAGCTTTTAAATGGTGATTTCCTTTATAGGTGTAAATTTTCCTTACACAAGTAACTTTTACTCTGTTTTCACAACTTCCTTTGTTAGCATTTTTTTTTTCAAAATAATTAGCTTGGAATAATTTTTAAGCCAAAGGGACATATTTTGGGGTTGCATATTCTGGTTTCCTACCATTATATTTTGGGGTGGCATAGTTTGGTCTTATACACTGTGTTCTACTGGCAATGAAAAGAGTTCTTGTTTTTCCTCCAGCAATTTGTCATTTGTTAAAGAGCTTAGCAGTTCTAAGAGATATAGACCAGCTGTGCTATCTTTTTGTGGTTTTCAGTTCTCTAGTATGTTGAGCATCTTTTTGTAGGTGTACTTGCCATCTGTAGATCTTCTTTGATGAGGCGTCTGTTCAGATCTGTGTGCATTTTTAATTGGGCTGTTTAACTTATTGTTTAGTTTTAACAATTTTTTATATATTTTGAATACAAATTCTCAGATC